>NC_000001.11:238153818-238305333 GCF_000001405.40 Homo sapiens | reverse complement strand
CTCTGCTGCTGCAGCAGGCTTCTGTCTGATCATGTAGGCTTTCCCATATATCCTGTGAAATCTAAGTGGAGGCTGCTAAGCCCCCTTCACATTTGTATTTCATGCAACCACAGACTTAACATCTCTTGGGAGCGGCCAAGGCTTATGGCTTGCAGTGGCCTGAGCCAAATTTAAACATGATACTAAATAACTTAAATTCCAGCTTTATTTCTTTGCTCCATATCTGATCATAGGTTGTTAGAAGCAGCCACACCACATCTTGAACACTTTGCTGCTTAGAAATTTCTTCCAACAGATACCGTAAGTTATTACTCTTAAGTCCAAACTTTCTCAGATCCCTAGGGCATGGACATAACGCAGCCGAGACCTTTGCTCTACTTCCCAATAACTTTTTAATTTCCATAGGAAATCTCATCAGCCTAGCTTTCACTGTCCATATTTCTATTAGCATTTGGTCATAACCATTTAACAAGTCTCTATGAAGTTCTAAACTTTCCCTTATGCTCCAGTCTTCTGAGCCCGCCAAACTTTTCCAACCTCTGCCTCTTACTCAGTTCCAAAGCCACTTCTACATTTCGGGTTTCTTTGTAGCAGTGTTCTGTGCTTCGATACCAATTTTTTGTGTTAGTACATTTTTGTGTTGCTATCAAGAAATGCCTGAGACTGGATAATTTATAAAGAAAAGAGGGTTAATTGGTTCATGGTTCTGCATCTGCTCCTGGTGAGGGACTCAGGAAGCTTATTATAATGGCAGAAGGTGAAGGGGGAGTAGGCACATCACACGGAGAGAGCAGGAACAAGAGAGAGAGGGAGCAAGAGAGTGGGAAGTTCCAGGCTCCTTTGTAAGCAGCCAGATGTTGCATAAACTCATTAGGGCTGGAAGGACAACAAGCCTTTCATGAGAGATCCACCATCATGGTCCAAACACCTCCCACCAGGCCCCACTCCAACATTGGGAATTACATTTCAACATGAAATTTTGAGGGGACAAACATTCAAACCATATCACTTATTTCTTCAGAACAACATCTGCAAGGAGGCTGAATTGTTTATACATTTTATCTTTCATTTAATCATATCCACTGTGCTTATTGATATGGTTTGGCTGTGTCCTCACCGAAGTCTCATCTTGAATTATAGAATTATAGCTCCCACAATTCCTACGCATTGTGGGAGGAACCTGGTGGGAAGTAATTGAATCATCGAGGTGGATCTTTCCCATGCTGTTTTTTTGTTTGTTTGTTTGTTTGTTTTTTTTGAGACAATGTCTTGCTCTGTCACCCAGGCTGGAGTGCAGTGCTGCAATCTTGGCTCACTGCAACCTCCACCTCCAGGGTTCAAGCAATTCTTGTGCCTCAGCCTCCCAAATAGCTGGGACTACAGGTGCATGCCACTATGCCCAGCTAACTTTTTGCATTTTTTAGTAGAGATGGGGTTTCACCGTGCTAGCCAGGCTGGTCTTGAACTGCTGTCCTCAAGCAATCTGCCCACCTCAACCTCCCAAAGTGCTGGGATTACAGGAATGGACCACTGTGCCTGGCCTCATGCTGTTCTTTTGACAGTGAATAAGTCTCACAAGATGGGATAGTTTTATAAAAGAGAGTTCCCCTGGGCAAGTTCTCTTGCCTGTAACACGTGATTTTGTTCCTCCACCATGATTACGAGGACTCCCCCATCTTGTGGAACTGTGAGTCAATTAAACCTCTTTCCTTAATAAATTACCCAGTCTTGGGTATGTCTTTATCAGCAGCATGAGAACAGACTAATACACTTTTCATCCTTCTTTGGCACATCACCTCTTCGTATTCTCTACAGTTTTCTTCCCACCATGTTCTTGGGACGCCTCTTTGGATTTCGTCACCCAGGCTACCTTCCCTTCTTGCTTCTAAGTCAGCAAGGGACTAGAAAGTGGCAAACACAGAGTATGGGTTTTTTTCCTCAGCTCTTTCCCTATTCTGGCATCATGGTCTGGAAAAGCCTGTATTTCTATGACTCATATTCCTAGTAGGGCAGCCACTTCTCCATGGTTCCAGCTTCCACCTCATGGGGTCTTAGGAGTGAACATGGCTTCTTAGTTTCCACACTTAGTAGTCTCTGGATACCTCAGCACCTCCTATTGATTTCCTAAGTCCTGCACATGCCTCTGTAAACTATCCTTCATTAAATTTTCTTCAGAATGTGATCTCCATGTTTCCTGTGCCTCTTATAAGAACCCTAATTGATTAACCTCCCAAAAGTTCTTCCTGGAGGAGAGAACTTGAACTTTAAAGCTCAGGTTGGGTCTCTAAGGCCTTATATCAATATCCAGCACACTTAAGATAAAGAATAAAAGGAGTTATTAGGAAAGTTTCAAATGTAATACCCAGATCACATTCAATGTGAGGCATCAGACTGTGACAGGCTGCACACAGCATACTTATTTATACCCTGTGCAAAGCTCAGTCAACTGATAGAGAGAAAAAAAGACAACACATCCATTAAAGACATTTCACCTCCTTTCAGTCCCAGCATGTCATGCTCTGAATCTGTTAACTTTGACAGGTCTCAAATGTTCAGCTATGCCAACCTCCCTTGTCAACATTCTTGAACTACCTGTAACTATAACCCTTCCAAAAGCCCTTTAAGTAAGAAATACACAGCTCTTTTCCATGTTACAAAATTTGTTATTTATCTTAGCTAAAGTAGGTCCTGCATTATTAGTAAAATTAAATTTTGCCCCCGTGACATTATAATTTTAA
The DNA here is from genome assembly GCF_000001405.40 of Homo sapiens. NCBI lineage: Eukaryota > Metazoa > Chordata > Mammalia > Primates > Hominidae > Homo > Homo sapiens. The sequence continues at coordinate 238,302,595 of NC_000001.11, read as the reverse complement.
ACCCTTGACAGATGGTTAATGAGGATTTTGTCTTCCCTCTCTGTGCAGAGCTCCTCTAAATAGTATGTGGTTATCTTATTCACCAGGTGTCAGTCCAAGTAATAAAAAGGAATACAAATGATTTTTCATTATATTAGTAACTTGAATCATAATTTTGTTTTCCTTCCGTTTACAGAAGCAGCATGGTGAAACAGAATCAATGTCCTCTAGACAAAATATCATTACCATCGGAATTAAAAATGTATTCTTAATTTTGCTGTGTTAATAAATGGCTTTATGGTTACTGTAGCCTGATTCTGTTGTAAGAATGAGTAAGTGGTTTGAACTGACTTTCAGTCCCTTAGTGATGTCATCAATACCTTTTGTGAACCTGATAGAGTATTTAATAAACATTGTTCAACGGGCCAATAAGGACCAACAAGTGCAGGAGCATTTGCAAGAAGTGTTCACCAGGAAGGCGTGTGAGTGTGTGTGCGTCTATGTATGTATGCGCACATCAAAATTTCACTTGAACACAGTTCCCTCTGCCTTAGAGGGCTGGCACAGGACTTTTTCCTACAAAGTCTCCCTAGATGCTGGTATAATTCACTAGCGTCCATTCAGAAGGTACAGAAATTTTTAAATGGAAAAGAATAAGGAAAGCCTTCCGCGTAGGATCAAACAGCTGGTCTAAATGGGAAGATGTAAAGTCAGCTTCATGTGCCACAGACATTCCTGCCAACTCTAGTCACCCCAGAAGTCCTAAACTTGGGACCTACTCCCCATAGCAGCCCAGTAGCCTAGCCTCTCGGAAATTGGAGTTGGAATCATGTGGCAAACTTTCACAAAAAAAATGAGGAACGGGAATTTTATTCTAAGGAAGTGGAGGGTTTTATTTCTAACCATTTGCCTTTGGTGTCCCTTGTTTTTCCCAATCACTGTCCCTTGAAGCAATACTCAAGCTGTCCCAATAAACATCCTTTTGGCAATGGTTCACAGTTATTTTCCTGAAAGAACCCTTAAAATTGTATCTGATTATAGCAAGTGTTTGGCTCATCAAAGATATCCCATTAATTCCCTTGATTTTACAAATAACCAGTCATATTTCTTATCACTTGAACATTACCACAATCAATTGATATCCTTTCATCTGAAATCAAATAAACTAGGTATTTTACTTAGATGTACATTCATAATACAGTTAAATGGAAAATTTCCATTAAATTTTGTTTTCTGTTAGTTTGGTTGGTTTTTTTTTTTTTTTAATTTAGTTTAGTTTAGTTTTTTTTTTTTCCTTTTTTGAGGCAGGATCTCATTCTGTTACCCAGGCTGGAGTGCAGTGACATGACCACAGTTTACTGCAGCCTCAAACTTTTAGGCTCAAGCAATCCTCCTGCCTCAGCCTCTAAAGTAGCTGGGACTCCAGAGGTGCACCACCATGCATGGCTAATAAAAAAAAATTTTGTGTGGAGATGGGTTTTTGCTGTGTTGCCCAAGCTAATTTAAGTTTTTGATAAATTGAAAATTTCTAAAATAATGAGGATTCTTCAGTGGCTAGTAAACAGAGAATTAGAATTATACCGAATACTCCTTTTTATAAGTGACTATGGCTTCTCAGTATTGCTGAATAAATAAAAGCAATAGAAAGACATGTTTGATGAAAATATGCTTAAACATGTGATTAATGGGGCAATTCACCATCGCACAGGAAACAGCCTGACAACCGTCTGTGCATCTCCCCAAACCCATTACTCTTCTAATATTGTGCCTGGAGACCAAGGAAACACCACTGACATTGTCTTGTTCTGAGCCTCCTGCCCTTTGGTTTTTCCATAATGGGCACAACCATCATAGTGATTTGCAGTTACTCGTTCACCTAAAGTCCATTTATCAGTATTATTTTGTTCCTATTAGTAGAATAAGAGAAACAGGGGAAATCTTTTAAGTCAATGAATTGGAGCATCAGAAAGAGTGAAAATTAATTGCAACACTATTTGAAGTCATTCTGATTTTAGAAGAAAGTTTAACAACTTTCTGCCTTCACTGAATTATCCCTAATGTTGTTCAAATATCAAGCTAAATATCCCCAATGTTGTTCAAATATCAATATGATTATTGACATTCCTTAATAAACAACACCCAAGTGACATGCCTTCCCTGTAGTGTAACTTCCATTTATGTTTGTTTCGTCCTTTTTGCTAATAATTTTACCCTCTTCTCACACTTCAGTTTACTTATATAATTTCCTTTTAGACTAGGTGTTCCTTCAGGAAAGCAGACTCTTTTATCTAGCATCTTCAGATAGCAAAATGACTGACAATGATGGACTCTCAGACATAATTGTTGTATTGATAGAATAGATTTAAAGAAACTAATAATACCACATTTGTATTCCAAAAGAAAGGCTGGGCTGTGTCTCCATCTCTGATTAAAATGTAGAGTCAAGTTCAAACAGGAGTGCTTACATGCAGCCTCCTCTCCGTATTGCCCTGAAGTGATACAGATGCAAAATATAAACACTTGAAGAAACTCAAAGTCATTTAATCCAAACTTCTCATTTTACAAATGAGAAAATGGGCTCAGCAATATGAAATGATTAATTCAGGGGTGCAATGGACCTTCTCTCCTGTTGGAGTCAAAGCAGAGGCTGGGCACGCTATAGCGTGCAATAAACTTTGAAGTGGGCAGAGAGAAGGGTTGGTAGGTTTCAGCACCAGCTATTCTCCTGCAGCAACTACTGCAGTGGGAGCAGCCAAGGTCTCTCCTCACAGCCCCAACCCTGAAAGATGTTCCTCAACTCTTTTTTTTCATGGAGCATGACTCTCTGCCTTCTAATAGAATATCATTCTTAGCTACAAATGTTAAAATATGGAAATACCAGTGGCACTCATTGTTGATGCCTCCCCAGTTGCCTCTGGTTTTGTTCACATTGCTGTTAGGGGTCAATCTGAAACCAGTGCTTTCAGCCTGCATTAGAATCATCCAGATAACCTGTTAAAACACAGATAGTTGAGCCCCAAACCCAGAGGTTATAATTCAGTAGGTGTCTGGTGGGGCTAAAGAATGGACACTTCTAACCAGTTCCCAAGTAATGTTGATGCTGCTAATCTGGGAACCACACTTTGGGAATAACTTGTCTAGATCAATCAAGGCAATTCTGTTTTCTTTGCCAGTGATTAGTTTAGTCATGAGTATGTGAAATAAATCTGATTTATAAACTCTTAAGTATTTATTGTGCACATATTATGTGCCATACACTGTTCTGTGCACATGGCATACATTAGTCAACGAAACAAAAATCCCTGACCATGTGGAACTTATATTATGCACCTAATTACATTATGCACATATGAACCAAAAGCGGGATTACTATACAGCAGCTTTGAGGAGCACTGGACTGGAAGTCAGAGATCAGGGTACCCATAATGATTCTGCCACTAGTTACATATAGGTATACTTCACAGATATTGTGGATTCAGTTCCAAACTGCCACAATACAACAAATAGCACAATGAAGCAAGTCACACAAATTTGTTGGCTTTCCAGTGCATAGAAAAGGTATGTTTATACTAGAATATAGTCTATTAAATGTGCAGTAGCATTATGTCTTATGGGGGCAAAAACAATGTACATACTTTAAAAACTACTTCATTGCTAAAAAATGCTCATAATCATCTCAGCCTTCAGTGAGTTGTAATATTTTTTCTGGTGGAGGGTGGTCTTGCCTGGATGTTAATGGCTGCTGTCTAATCAGGATGGCGTTTACTGAAGTTTAGGGTGACAAACTGTGGCAACTTTTAAAATAAGACAAAATGAACTTTTCCATATCGATTGACTCTACCTTTCACAAAGATTTCTCTGTAGCATGTGATGCTGTTGGATAGCATTTCACCCAGAGTAGAACTTCTTTCAGAATTGCAGTCAGTCCTCTCCAACCCTGCTGCTGCTTCCTCAAGTTATTTTATGTAATATTCTAAAACCTTTGTGGTCATTTCAACAATGTTCTCAGCTTCTTCACCAGGAGTAGATTCCATCTCAAGAAACCACTTTTGTTTTTGCTTATCCATAAGAAACAACTCATCTGTTTAAGTTTTATTATGAGATTGCAGCAATTCAGTCACATCTTCAGGCTCTACTTCTAATCCTAGTTCTCTTGTTATTTGCACCACATCTGTGGTGACTTCTCCCACTGAAGTCTTGAATTCCTCAGTCATCCATGAGGGTTGCAGTCAACTTCTTCTAAACTCCTGTTAATGTTGATATTTTGACCTTCTCCTGTGAATCCCAAATGTTCTTAATAGCATCTGGAATGGCAACTCCTTTCCACTATGTTTGGCCAAGTTTTTTTATTTTTCTTTTCGGTAGAGACCAGGTCTCACTATGCTGACCAGGCTAGCTGGTCTCAAATCCAGAAGGTTTTCAATTTACTTTGCCCAGATCCATTAGAGAAATTGCTATCTATGGCAGCTATAGCCTTACAAAATATATTTTTTAAATAATAAGACTTGAAAGTCAAAATTACTCCTGAACTCATGGGCTACAGAATGGATGTGGTGTTAGCAGTCATGAAAACCACGCTAATCTCTTTGTACACATCCATGAGAGCTCTTGGGTGACTAGATACATTGTCAATTACCAGTAACATTTTGAAAGAAATCTTTTTTTTTCTGAGCAGTAGGTCTTAACAGTGGGCTAAAAATATTCAGTAAACTCTGAAATAAACAGATGTGATATAATCCAGGATTTGTTGTTCCACTGATAACGCAAAGACAGAGTATTTAGCATAATTCATAAGGTCCTTAGTATTTTCAGAATGGTAAATGAGTATTGGCTTCAACTTAAAGTCACCAGCTGCAGCATCCACTCAAAAGAGAGTCAGCCTGTCCTTTGAAGCTTTGAAGCCAGACATTGACTTCTTCTCTTTAGTTATGAAAGTCCTAGATGGTATCCTAAAATAGAAGGCTGTTGCATCTACTTGGAAAACGTGTCTTTTAGCATCACCACTTTCATTAATTCTCTTATCTAGATCTTCTGGATCACTTGCTGTAGCTTCTCCATCAGCATTTGCTGCTTCGCCTTGCACATTTATGTTATAGCTTTTTTCTCTAAACTTCATTAATCAACCACTGCTAGCTTTAAACTTTTCTTCTGAAGCTTTTTTGCCTCTCTCAGCCTTTATGTAATTGAAGAGAGATAGGGCTTTGCTCTGGATGAGGTTTTGGCTAAAAGGAATTTAGTAGCAGATTTACTCTTCTATTCAGACCACTAAAACTTTTTCCAGGTCAGCAATACCGCTCTTTTGCTTTCTTATCATTTATGTGTTTGCTGGAGTAGCATGTTTAATTTCCTGCAGGAACTTTTCCTTTGCATTCATCACTTTGCTAACCATTTAACTCAAGGGGTCTAGTTTTCAGCCTGTCTGTACTTTTGACATGCCTTCCTCACTAAACTTAATCATTTCTAGCTTCAGATTTAAAATGAGAGATGTGTGACTCTTCTTTTTGCTTGAACACTTAGAGGCCATTGTAGGATTATTACCTGTCCTCATTTTACTATTGTTGTGTCTCAGGGAATAGGGAGGCCTGAGAAAAGTGAGAGAGATGGGGAACAGATTGGTGGAGCAGTCAGAACATGTACAACATTCGTCAATTAAGTTTGCCATCTTATACGAGTGTGGTTCGTGGTACACGAACAATTACAATAGTAACATCAAAAATCACAGATCACCATAAGTGGTATAAGAATAATTTTTAAAAAGTTTAAAATATTATGAAAATTAACAAAATGTTACACAAAGAAAGAAAGTGAGGATATGCTGTTTGAAAAAAAAAATGGCTCCAATAGACTTGCTGGACGCAGGATTGCCACAAACCTTCAATGTGTAAAAAACGCAGTGTCTGCGAAGTGCAATAAAGAGCAATAAAAGGAGATATGCCTGTGTTAGGATAATTACTTGACCTCTCTGGGGCCCACGATGCTCAGCAAAAAATGAATGGGTTAGATTACAACATCTCATAGGTTTTCTTCCAGCTTCAACATTCAATTTCAACCCCAGCAAGTCTTTTACAGCTGTAATGTAGCGATTACCAGCCACGAAGTGAGGAATATACCATTACGAGTCCACAGAAATAACCTCACACACTTTGGCCTGTGTATGGCTGGGAAAGGTCAGAGTCTGATGGATCACACCTTCAAGAAATACAGTCACATTGTCAAGAAGGCTTCAGATCCAATTTAAAAACTGAGTCAGAAATAAGGAAAGGCATTGCAGAGAATAGAGCAAATGCTAACAAAAATACGTACACATTGTGCTGAAATGCAGTAATGACTATTGATCCTCAGTTAGATTTTCAAGTCACCATTGCACATATAGGTCTCAGTCAATAGCACCTTGTTTTAAGTAGATTGTACAAAGAATTTCCCAGGTGTTAACTCTCTTCTTTCACACACTACTACGTGTGTTTGTGTGTGTCCATTATTACCTTTTTTTTCTTTCTTTCAACTTTTATTTTAGATTCAGGGACTACAGGTGCGGGTTTGTTACATGGGTAAATTGTGTGCTACTAGCATTTTTAAAAAACAATTTGAGCAAGTTGCAGTCCTGATGTCCCATCACCGTCACCAGACAACCCTCAAGTTAGGAAATCATAACTGATACCACACTACCTTCCAACGCACAAAGGCCATTCAAATTTCACCAACTGTTCCAGTGAGATCTTTTTATTCTGTCTGGTTCCAGGATTACCTTCAAGAGTACACATTGCAGCCGGGCACAGTGGCTCACGCCTGTAATCCCAGTACTTTGGGAGGCCGAGGTGGGCGGATCACCCGACATCAGGAGTTCAAGACCAGCCTGGCCAACATGGCAAAACCCCGTCTCTACTGAAAATACAAAAAAAAAAAAAAAAAATTAGCCGGGCATGATGGCACATGCCTGGGATCCCAGCTACTTGGGAGGCTGAAGCAGGAGAATCCCTTGAACCAGGGAGGTGGAGGTTGCAGTGAGCCAAGATCATGCCACTGCACTCCAGCCTGGGCAACAGAGTGAGACTCCACCTCAAAAAAAGAAAAAGGAAAAAGAGTACACATTGCATTTAATTTTCTTACCTCTTCAGTTTTCCTCTAACTGGAAGATTTCCTGAATCTTTCTATATTCTTCTTGAGCATCACAGTTTTTAAATATTATTGGTTGAACTGGAAAAACTGGAACTTGACCTGAGGTTTCCTAATTACTAGACTCAGGTCATGCTTTCTTGGTTGAAAAACAACAACACAGAAATTGTGCACTTTTCTCCAAGCTGCACATCAGGGGCCCTTGATGTTAATACAACCTGCCAGTGAAGTAGTTAACCTTAAATCAGTGGTCATGTTTTTTTAACTAGGTTTCTCCACAATGTCACATTTTTCCTCCTGGTAACTGATATATTCAATTTTATAGGGAGCTAGTCCAGGACTATGTTAATATCCTGTTCCTCATCTAACCTCCACTCACCAGCCTTGGCCTGCATTGACAACCCTCTCCTGAATCAATTACCACAATGATGGTGGGCAAGTGGTGTTTTCCCATTTCATCAATTTTTTTTACATTGATTAGTAGCATTCTACCGTAAGGAAGAGCTTTTCTTTTCCCCCAATTATTTATTGATTCATTCATTTAGTTATATCAGTATAGACCTATAGATTTCTATTTTATTCAATAGATTATATCCCATCACTATTATTATCTATTTTGAGATTCCAATTGTCCCGAATTTGGCCAGTGGAGGCCTTCAAAGTGGCTCACATATCATGACATGTTTCTATCATTTTTTCAGCATTTTCTTACTTTCTGGCACAATAAGATATTCCAAGCTTATTTTGAATTTTCCATGCCCTAGCCAACTAATCAACAATTTCTCCAAAGAGCCCTGGTTCCTTCAGTGTACAATGTGCTCTGTGTTTACTGTGCTCATTGCTTCTACGGTGTCGATGCTTCTAGACCTATGGAGTGGACGGAGCCAGAAAACATGTGTGTATCACCACGCACAGACTTAACGCACACATCCATACATGTATCTTTAATAATTCCACACCTAGGCCAGGCATGTTGGCTCACGCCTGTAATCCCAGCACTTTGGGAGGCCAAGGCGGGCAGATCACCTGAGGTCGGGAGTTCAAGACCAACCTGATCAACATGGAGAAACCCTGTCTCTCCTACAAATACAAAATTAGCTGGGCATGGTGGCGTGTGCCTGTAATCCCAGCTGCTCGGAAGGCTGAGGCAGGAGAAACACTTGAACCCGGGAGGCAGAGGTTGCAGTGAGCTGAGAACGTGCTATTGCACTCCAGCCTGGGCAAGAAGAGTGAAACTCCTTCTCAAAATAATAGTAATAATAATAATTCCACAACTAAATATCTATAGGTATATACTTTTAACAATGAGTTCCTATCAATACCTCCAATTTTAATCCAAAACTTCATGATTCTTTTTAGCCTTGTTTGTAAATACCTTCTCTAACAGTGTTAAACCTGGTTCTCTTCATCATCTTCACTACATTAACTAACATGATCAAGGCCGGCAGGCTGCCTTTTATCTCAAGGCCAGCAGGCTGCCTACCACAGAGCTCTGCACCCTCAGACATTGGTAGGCAAACTGCTGGGTGGGGGGGGGTGGGGTCTTTACACCTCCCACATCATCTCTTGCTTTGAACCTCATATCCGTAGGCATGCCACCTGGAAGCCACCATAGCCACCTCTCTCCATCTCATGGCCCTTCCGTGACCCTGCTAATTGCTTTGTGCTGAAAAGAGAAGGACCATTATAATTGAAAATGAATAATGTCTGTGTAAGAATGGAGAGTGTTGGCCGGGCGCGGTGGCTCACACCTGTAATCCCAGCACTTTGGGAGGCCGAGGCGGGTGGATCACGAGATCAGGAGATGGAGACCATCCTGGCTAACACAGTGAAACCCCGTCTCTACTAAAAATAGAAAACATTAGCCGGGCGTGGTGGCGGGCGCCTGTAGTCCCAGCTACACGGGAGGCCGAGGCAGGAGAATGGCCTGAACCTGGGAGGCGGAGCTTGCAGTGAGCCGAGATCGCGCCACTGCACTCCAGCCTGGGCGACAGAGCGAGTCTCCATCTGAAAAAAAAAAAAAAAAAAAAGAATGGAGAGTGTCTTAGAGAAAATTGAATTGTAAGAGAAGGTAGTTCTGGGCACCACTTAATCCTCTCCCTGTCTCTTCTAAAGTGCTGGAACCCTGCCTTCCCTTTCCTAGCAGCAAGCATTCATCAGCCTAGTACTGCCTGCAAGCAGCCCGGGGAGCTTCACCAAGGATCCCAGGCCTACCTTGCCCTTCTTCATTACCAAATCCTTTCTTACCTCCTCCTCCCTGCCATTTGACGGACCTCCTTTAGGTGTTAAGAGGAAAATTAACATGTCTGTCAGTGGTGGAATTTCAGATAGCACAGGGAAACTGATACGATGGCATACAAACAGATATTGTGGGAGATATTTGGGGGCAAGGCAGCCTTACACTACATCAAAAATATGACTCCACTCTGACTATTTCAGGTAAATACGCATAGCTCAGAGGGATTTTCTTTAGTATTTTTAGATTCCATAGCAAAAAGTAAAATCAGATTGAGAGGAAATGCAAAATGTATATATCATCAAAGTTTCTGAATAACTGCTGCAGACATTCTATTTTTTTTGACATTGAGTAAATCAGTCTTTGCAATTATTAGTCCTGGACTAATTTAGAAAGAAAATACCATTAAGCTGCCAAAATAGGCATCATACAATAATAATTAAAATATATTTTTAAACTGTAGTAAATATTTTTGTCCAGTGTGGCTTTTTACTTACAACAAATACTATAAGGTAAAATTTAGATTTATTATCTTAATTACAACCATAGACTCAAACTGTTACAGTAATGAAAATGGGATCTAATTACACAGAGGTACCATGAGACTGATCCTTTTCTAAATGCTGTTATACAGCATTATTTATTTCATTTAATCCTCACATTGACCCATTTAGCCACTATATAGACAGCTACTTATTAATATGGTAACCTTTTAACAATCAAAATATATTTAAGAAAAATAGATGGTTTAAGTGACATTTTCCAAATATGTCACATTTGCATAATATGCATTTTAATTTAATAATGTTACTTAAGTCATGTGTTTTAAGGAAGCAATCTCTCATAATGGGAAATTAGTTTTGTGTGGGATGTGAATTATACAATCATTACATCTATCCTGCAGAGGTTTTAAATTTAATTGTTTCAATGTCCAAGCAAAGATCCTCATGTTGGGGGAATTAATGTAAGTGAATATTTTTATACAGGAGAAAACAAGGAAAAACATTAAGTATTAATTCTAAAATTAGAATTCAGTGAGAACAAAATCGGACAAAAAGAGGTGCATTTTTCTCCATCCCACCAAAAAAAAGAAAAAAAGAAAAAAAGATTGCCTAGAAGAAAATTATATTTCTTTCATTTTTGATAAAATGTAAGCAGTCTCTTAAAATAGGGAAACAAAAACATGGAGAAGGTCAACTCACTCAAGGTTACTGAAAAGATATTTAGGGGATAAATAGCTGCTTTTGTCTCAATAGACAGGAAGGGTAAGGCTTCGGGGAAATTTCTCTACTGCTGCCTGCATCACTTATGTAAAATGTGGTTCAAGGACCAGCAGCATTGGTATCACCTGGCACCTATTGAAACGCAGACTCTTGAACCTTATTCCAGACCTGCTGAGTCAGATCGTGAATTCATATAAATATTACAATATGTGCTAACTCACCCTCATCCAAGCTATTCTCCTTGTAGCTACCAGAGAGATTAGCAAACCCGGGACTTATGTGTCCCCTTCTTAAAATTCTTCGATAAAGTCTGCTACACTTACAATAATCCAATTCTTGCCATGGCCTACAAGGCCCTAAGAGATCTGGTGCCTGCCTGCCCTCCCACCTCATCCAGAACCACTGTCTCCTGATCTCACTTTGTTCCCTTCACACTGGACATTTTCGGATTCCTCCAGTGTCTTAAGCTCTTCATTACCTTCAGATCGTCACACATATTTCTCCTGCAAGGAATCATCATCATTCACTTTACTTTTCATTTGACTAAATTCTATTCATCCTCCAGGTCTCTGTTCAAACTTGAGTACTTTCCTCAGAGAAGCTCTTTCTAAAACCTCACAACATAATAATCCCTCCTCCCAACTTCTTAGATATTCTCCATTTGGGTTTTTTGTCTTTCATAGCAATTTAGCTTTTAGTTAGTACTATGTGTGCACGGTCATATGTGCACTTATTTGTATAATTATTGTCTCCTTCACTAAGCTGTAAGTCCCTTAAGGGCAGAAATAATTGCGTTTTGCTCAATACTGTGTATTTGTCTCTTATAAAACTACCAAAACATTTATTGGGTTAGCAAATGTTGATAAAGAAGCAATGTTGAAGAAAGACATAAAGTAAATTATTCTATGATAATTTTAAAAATGTTATCTTTTATGATTTCTCTTTTAATCATAACAATTTCAAACACCAATAGATGGTATGGAAATCATTAAAATTAATCCTAGCTATGGGTCGATTTTTATCCTTCTCTCCTTTCAACTTTGCTCAACACAGCCATAAATTCACAAATATTTATCAACTCTCCAAAAGAGAACAGGCTCTGGTCTTCTTCATCTCAAATACATGATCAGCCTTGTATCTTCTTGTTTTTATCTGTATCACCAAAAAAATACGAAATGTCTTCCTTCAGCCAAACTTACTGAAAGGGCGTTGTTATAATTTTCCTGAAAACCAAACCAAACCAAAACTAATAACAGTTAAGCGATCTGAGACTCCTTTGATTTCTTTTACCACCCAATGTAGTATTCATCTACTGGCTGACTGGCCTTTCTGCCACCTTTGAAAATTCCAATGCAGAAGTTCCCGCAAAGGCAAATTTAGAATACATTCCTCTCTTAGGACCATTATACGTCCTGCTTTCCAGCATCAATAAGTCTATGCAAACAAGTTGGAAGTGAAGTAGCCACCGTAAAGGAGAGATATATCAAGTCTTCTGATTAGCTATGGCTGTAAAACAAATTACCTCCAAAACATAGTGGTTGAAAACAACCATTTTATTAAAGCTCACAATTTCTGGATGAAATTTGGGAAACGCTCAGCTGAGCTTTGCTTCTGCTCCACTTGATTTTAATTAATACAATACCCAGCTGATGAGCTGGCTGGTCTGAAGAGTCTAGAATGGCTTTGCGCACATCTCTTGGCAGGGATGGCTGGAAGACTGCACTCAGTTGTGTCTGTAGCTGGAGTATCTACATTTGGCCTCTTGAGCATTACAGTCTCAGGGGAGTTGGACTTCTTAAATGGAATCTCAGGAGGTCCCAGAGAGAGTGTTTAAATAAACAGGAAGCAGAAGCTAACAGATTTTAAAGACTTGATTCTTGAAATTAGCATATCCTAACTTCCACTATATTCTATTGGTCGATCAGTCAAACAATACCACTGCATTCATGGGAAAGGAACAAAGTATCCCAACCTATGTTGGGAAAGAGAAACTAGTAAGTTGTGAAAGGCTATAGACGTGCTGAAATATTTATATTCTATTGTACAAATATAATTTCTTTGTTTTTCATTATAGGAAAAAGTTGGGAATAACCAATTTATATTACAGTATTTATAGGAAATAGCTCCCAAAATTCACATATACATTATGGTTACATTTATAAGACATAAGTATGCCAAGAGATAAACACTACAAGTGGTTTAATAAAAACAAAACCATCAACATGTTATACTGATTGCATTTGTATTGATTTTGTTCATAGTTCTCAAACATTTTGTAGTGTGGGCATATTATATTAACAGTGAAAAATGAAAATGAAAATACAATATTATATGAAGTTCAGGAAAAAAATCGTAAATCAAAATAATGGTCAAAGAGCTTTCTCTCATTGAAATTTAATTTGCTCAGTGATGAATTAAATAACACATGGCGCAATTTGAATTCTCCTAAAATGTTTAGCTTTTGAAATCCTAGCCCATGAGTTATCAGCATGAAAGTTCTCCAAAGCATTCAAGGCAGTTTACCATAGCAGTAGAAATGAAGGACTCTTGATCCTTTGTAGGCTTCTAATTCATTCAGAAATTGCTACTTGTTTGACCTTGGGCAAGTTACTTTAACTGGCTGTGTCTTAGTTTTCTATTCTATAAAAGTGGTTTGATAATTACAATACTTACCCCATGAATTGTTGAGAGAGTTAAATGACTTAATTATATGTATGAAGTACTTGGTTAAGGGCCTGGCATGTAGTTCGAAGCAAGTGCTATAAAAGTATCGCCTATTACTAGTATGCTTTTAATGCTGAAACAGACATAAAAGTGTCTATGAAGCTAATTGTATACTAATTCAATTAGAAAAAAATGGAAATGAAATACAGTGTATTGGTAATGATAGGGAGTTTAAGAATTACAGGCATATTCAACTCTATTTCCTCCTCATAAAAGTTATCATCCACAACCAGACCTGCTGTTTGGCAGCTCAGATTTGAAAATAGCCCTTTTGACAGCAAGGTCAAGGGAATTTCTCTTGTGAAAGAGAGTACTGCCTAATGCAAACAATAGGTAGAGAGTTATTTACAAAATATATTTTGTATATTTTTTGTATATATAAAAATACAGAGGGTATTCTCTAACACCCTCTGGTAAAATTAATTCTCCATAGACAAATGCAAAACAAAATAGAAATACAGACGAGTAAAAGTTATTGGTAAGTCAGAATGAAGATGTAGTACTTACACCTACTTCCCTTTCTAGCTAAGAACTATTTGCTGAGTTGCTGATACTCAGTTCAGTGAGGGAGGGTCTACTCTGCAAGGAGGTGCTTCCAAAATACTCATAAAAATAGCCTTCTTAGGGCACCCCAAAGTGGCTGAAATATGCCATAGGAGAGGGTGTGGAGTTGCCTGCCACGTGGCTGCTAGCTTTGCTCTCTGCTCTGCACTAGCTTCTCCTCTTGACTGCCCAGCAAAGGAGGCCTTTGTAACTTCATGACACTCATGTTCAGGAGTGGGTGAATGACAACACCCATCTCTGCCCCTACAGTCAACAAAAATACACACTCACCATCTGCTATCAAGCAGCAAGTGCTGTCTTCCTTTATGATGTATAATGTTTTCATTATGGAACCAGAAAAAAAGAAAATTTGTTCCAAAAGTTTCTGTATGGCAAAAGATATATGGCCCTACATAGCTTTAAAATGTATAGCAATATAACCCATAGATATTACTTATGAAGAGGAGATAAGAGGATGGAAAGAGAAAAAGGTACAGAACTTTACAGTTCCCAATGCTCTTCCACATTCAATACTTTATTTGAGCTGATTCACACAACAGTTTTATGAGGTTAAATAAGCAAAGCTAAATGTTAGCCACCATCCCCAAGTTACTGGATCCCCATGTCATCTTAAGCAATCCAATCAACATTTCTCAGGATCCTTGTCTGCAGAAGTTGTAAGGCCTGTCAATTAAATAATAGAGTACAGTTGTGAAGATGAAAAACATATGAAATTGTCTCATGTTGTGAAAACTCTTGAATGCCAGAGGTAAACTTGTTACATAGTTCCTAAACATAGAAACTAATTATGTGTTTCAAGTACAAAGTATTGATTAAGAAGATTTTGTATGTTACTAAGATGGTTTGGAGATATTAGCTGAGTACAAAATATCAATTTCTTTCAAGAAAAATGATTTTCTTATTTTTCCGTACCTATTATTCAAAAGTTAGAGGAACTGAGATAAGAATTAGGTTAGTTGAAAGTGTTTTTTTGTGAAAATTATGATTCACTTTCTATCTTCAATCTAAAGACTAAAGTTATTTATTTATTTTGGGATTTGGAATTATTCCTAGAATATAAACATGAATTGTTATAGCTATTAACCAAATTGGAGTCATTTTCTTACCCAAAACACATGAAAAAGATTATTTTAAAAAAGACAAAAATCATAAATGAGGAAATAAACAGTAATATTCTTAGATTACCTGGGCCACATTGCAAATATACTATCCCATCTACTTATTATTATACAATATGAAATATGACAGACCCATATTTATTATATGATAAGACTGCCTACTCTGTTATTTCCCTATAAAGCCTCTTATGCAATGAATAAGACACCTTCAGTTCTGTGAGCCATTTTGAAAGAGGACTTGACCATTATAATTAGAATATCTGAAGTAATAGACCCAGAGAAAAATCTCAAAATAATATTCTGTCAGTTTTTAAGAATAAAGCACAAAAACTATATCTAATTTAGGAAAGTCTTATTTTACCTCAACGCTGCTATAGCCTGCATGCTAAGTTCAGGGAACTGAAGCACTGTCAGTAGTTCAATGAGCAGATCGAAATGTGCAATGAGACTGAATAATTATAGTAATTCCCAACTGGGAGAGGAGAGCCTTGAATGTTTATTTGGATGTCCTAAATTTTAATTTTGGTCTAGAATATGATAACATTTAAAAGGACCTATTTAGCAACTGTTCATATGTGGTGTTATACATCACTGTCCTCCAAGGATACCTCTCAACTTACTGAAGAAGAAGCCACTCTATAAAGTGATTGGAACACATCATCTAAGAACTTCTGGATGAAAATATCTGCACTCCATCTAAAGATAGATTCAGATCAAAACAACTGCATCAACATACACACAGGCAGTAATTATATATACATCATTGATTTGCTATTTTAATGCTGTTACATATTTATGTTGATGACCTTAATTCCACTCTTCCACTAATTCTACCTTTCATTTATTTTTCTTTATTCTACCTTCTCATCTCCTCTACCCTAAAATCAAATTAGTACAGGTTTAACACTCAAGTTAACAGTTACAAATAGGCAATTTCTTTTTTTTTTTTTTTTGTTATAATTTCCATCCAAGGACTTTCCATAGTATCTCACGTGCATCAAGATACAGACTCAGGGCCAGGCGTGGTGGCTCACGCCTGTAATCCCGGCACTTTGGGAGGCCGAGGCGGGCGGATCATGAGGTCAGGAATTCGACACCATCCTGGCTAACATGGTGAAACCCCGTCTCTACTAAAAATACGAAAAATTAGCCAGGCATGGTGGCGGGCGCCTGTAGTCTCAGCTACTCGGGAGGCTGAGGCAGGAGAATGGCGTGAACCCGGGAGGCGGAGCTTGCAGTGAGCCAAGATAATGCCACTGCACTCCAGCCTGGGCGACACAGCGAGACTCCCTCTCAAAAAAAAACAAAAACAAAAACAAAAGATACATACTCAGAAACATTGACTTCAAGTAACACGTGCATCATCACTGAAAATAGTTTTCACCTAAATCAGAAAGCAAATCAGTAGTACTCATCCACACTTTGTTTTTTAATGTTTTTCTTGTCCCAGAAAACTTAGAGGTATTTGAAGTTATTTGGCCTCAAGACCTCAGGAATCATCACAACTCCCTGGGTTTCTGGTACACAATTAAGATGTCAATAACAGCAACCATGTGAGGACTTTTTCCAACTATATATTCAAATTAACATAATGCAGACATAATGCTCTGATTTTTGAAAATCCAGTTTAAAATATGTACAAATAAAAAGTCTGTATATTCACAGACCTATTCAGAATTGCAGGTGGATTTGGAACTGACCATTTTTTAGAGCCACTTCAAGAATTCCCAAATAGGCTCAGCTCTCCATGCCAAAGGAACTGTCAGAGAATCTGCCAAGTGAAGCCTGATGTTTAACTTACTGTGAGTAACAAGAGGGTAGAAAGGAGGATAAAGGGACATTCCACTTATATACACAATATGAAGTCTTCCATCCTCATCCAAAATTTAAAAATTGCTATGCCTCACTTGCATTAAATACCTATCTAGATAGCTTTGGAAATAAAACCCCAGTGAGCAAAGGAGTCAAAGTCTTTCTTTAAGGGGAAGTATTGGAGACAAAGAGAAAAAGTGCCTTGTGAAGAATGGAGTATATATGTTTTAAAAAAGATAGTGAAGCACTTAAGGTGATATGTACAACTAGCCACCACATCAGTAAAATTATATCATAAAAGGAAGAAATAAAGGTCTTATAAGCAGTTAAGATTCACTAAAAATTAGTGCTTAAGATACAATATATAAATTCTTATTTTTGAAGTTTTTTAAAAATATTTTTAAAGAGTATGAAGAGAATGTCAGTAAGATGGTGAAATAGGAGGTCTCAGACTTCACTACCCCCACAGAAAGTTCAACAAGCAACTATTCACGGTTAAAAATGTGTTGCTTGAAATCCCAAAAGTTGGTAATAAGCCCAAATCATCTTTGTCATCCACAGAACTGAATAAAAACTTATTAATGGGTGAGAGAAATGGTCTCATTTGGATGAGACCCAAGTCCCTCTCCCCCAAGTCAGCACAGTGCCACACAATAATTCCCCGAGGTCCAGCTTCTACAATGGGAAAGAGAACTAGAGGTAGACACCCAGCTTCCCGAACATTATGAAATGCTTTTTCCAGGAAGCCCATTCTGGTCTCAGCTTACAGAGAATGGGAGGAAATGGCACAGCTAGACCACTTGGGATCAGGTAAAAACAAAGCAAGGAGACAGAGCCCATAGTGACCAGCTCACAGATCTTGATGGTACCTCTGTGTCCCTGCCAGCAACGGCACCTGAGGAGAGGTAACAGGAAACAGCATAATCCATCTTATAAAACCAAGCTGGTGGCTCCCAGAAGTGTGGGAAGTTCAACCTGGCTAGAATCCCTAGACCGTCAGCCTCCAGGACCAGCTTCATACTCAGCCCAAGGAGACAGACTACCACCACCGTGCATTTCAGAAAAATGTAGGGGCTAATTCTGCCACATCCAGTAGTTTGAACAGTGCTCAGACAAGCCTCAAAGCCCACCCTGAGGGCCTACCGAAGCAGAGACAAACTTCAACCGTGAATTTCTACTGAGCAGAGTAGTTGGTCACATCCCTCCAGGTCAGCAACTCCACCTGAATTTGGAGCCTCTCCTGCAACCCTGCTCAACTGCTGAGCTAAAATAACATCTGGCAAGGAAATACACCCTGTGGTCCAGCCAGATCAGAACTGACTGCAGTGTCCATACAGCAATGCAGCCTGATAACAGAGCTTAGTCAGTGGTCTTGCCAGAAAGCAGAGCCCAGCTGCTTCCCCACCTGAACTCAGAGAAAAGGCAGCAGTCCATCTATCTAGAGAACCACAGGGCAAGCTATGCCTGCTCAGGGTCATTACCAGCTAGCCCATAGAGAATTACAGGCTAGATTAAATAGTATAGGTCTCTCCCTGCTGAAGAACACCTGTAAAAGCCAAAAGAGGTGGCTGTCTCCTTAAATGCACAAGCATACAAGAATACAAGGATTACAAAGACTCAGGAAATTATAACACATCCAAAGGAAACTAATGAAGCTACAACAATGTACCCTAAAGAAAGAGATGTATGAAATGACAAAGAATTCAGAATAATCCTTAACAAGGTCAGTGAACTACAAGAATATATCAATTAAAAAATTACATAAAATTTGAAAAAGAATACAGAAATCAACTGAGAAATTTATCTAAGGAACAGGTAAAAAATTTTTAAAAATATAGAAATCTCAGAGGTAACGAGTACAATGATGAGCCAAGAAATGCAATAGAAAGCTTTGAGGGCAGGCTTAATCAAGCTAAAGAATCAATGAGCTCAAAGGCAGACTATTTGAGATTATTAAGTTAGAGAAACAGAAAGAAAAAAAATGACAAAGAATGAAGAAAGCCTACAGGAATTATGGGACACTATCAAGAGATCTAACTTTCACATAATATGTATTTCAGGAAAAAAAAAGAAAGAGAAAACAACAGAAAGCATATTTTAACATATAATAGCTGGAAACTTGTAATCTGGGCAAAAATGCCAACATCTAGGTACTGGAAGTACAGAAATCTCAATAAAATTTAACACCAAGAGGAGTTCAGAAAGACATCTAATAATTAAACTATTAAAAATCAAAGACAAAGAAAAAATTCTCAGAGCAGTAAATGATAAGAAACATAGCATTTATAAAGGTGTCTCAATGTGACTATTGGCAGATGTCTCAGCAGAAGCCCTGCAAGCCAAAAGAGAATAGAATGATATAATCAAAGTGCTGAAGGAAAAAAAAAAACTGCCAACAACCACAAAAAGATGCTTTACCCAGCAAAACAGTCCTTAAGAAATGAGAGAGAAATAAAAACATTCTTAGACAAACAAAAGTTAAGGGAGGTCATCATCACTAGGCCCGTTTTACAGGAATTGCTAAAGGGAGCTCAGTAAGCTGAAACAAAAGGCTACCAATTAATAAAATAAAACTTAAAAAAGCACAAATTCTCGAAGTAATGAAAAGCCAAATTCAGAACACACTAGGACAGTAATGTTGGTGTGTAAAGAATTTTATCCCTAGCACAGAAGTTAAAAGACAAAACTATTAATTACAATTGTAACTAAAATAAATGATCAGAGATACATATTATGAAATGATATCAAAGCCATAAAATATGATAGGGGTAGGAGTAAAGCTGTAGAGTTGTTTTATGAAATCAAAGTTAGGCTGTTATCAGCTTGAAGCAGCCTGTTGTAAGATGGTTTATGTAAGCCTCATGGTCACCACAAAGCAAAAACTTATAGTAGACGCACAAAAAAAATTAGAAAGAATTCAAAGCCTACCAATACAGAAAACCATCAAACCACAAAGGAAAACAGCGAGAGAGAAGGGGAAAAAAAAAAAACAGCATCTACAAAACAAGCAGAAAACAATTTTTTTAAATAGCAGTAATAAATTCTTATCAATCAATAATTACTTTCAATGTAAATGGATTAAATTATCCAGTAAAAAGACACGGAGTGACTGAATGGGCTTGAAAGAGACCCAACTGTATGCTGTGTTCTGAAGAATCACTTCACTGTTGTGTTTAAGTACAAGCATAATCTGAGAGTGAAGAAATGGAAAAAAAAATCATGCAAATGGAAATCCAAATAAGAGGAAGTTTAGCTGTACTTATATCAGAAAAAAAAAACAGACTTCAAGTTAAAACCTGTAAAAAGAGAGAAAGAAGGACATTATATAATGATAAAAGGGTCAATCCATCAAGAGGATATAACATTTGTAAACATGTATGCACATTGGAGCACCTAAATACATAAAGTGAATATTAAAGAATCTGAAAGAATATGAAGGGAGAAATAGATTGCAATACAGTAAGAGTAGGAGACTTCACTACCTCACTTTCAATATCTGGATTCATAATCTACCACCTGTTCTGAATTCTAACAACGGGCAGCTTTTTCTATAACTCCACCCTCCCTAATTGCCTACAATGTGCCAAACAGACATAGTATCTACAGGGGAAAGGAAGGGAAGGGCTGTCTGGGACCCTGGCTGGTGCAGCAATGGAAGAGAACAGGACAGGGACATGAAAAGCCCATCCTAAATCTGGTTAGAATGTGAGATGTGATAAATTGCAATTGCCAAGACAGTGTGGGAAGAATTCTGAAGAGAATCCTGAAGTAATTACTGGTGTTATTCCAAGAAGAGCTATAATCATCACCCAATAACCATTTTCTGGATTTAATATTAGCCACAATCAGACTTAACTAATAAGCAGGGAAGAAATGTGTCTATGAGTATTCTCTAATGGATACACAGATACAAATCTGTTCAAATAGAATAGATATCCTTCTAGAATATTCTAGAAAACTACTCTAATGAGTATTTTTAAGAAAAGCAAACTTACCCTGGTCAAATGAAGTTTAAGATTCAGAGGATCTCACTTGCACAGTCCCTTGAAAAAATTGTGAGAGAACTCTATATAGTCACATGGACTATATTTTTCCAAAAGTTACAAAAGTAATAAGTTTTAACTATAATTAGTGAAGACCACTCTCTCCACTCTGATCATCTTGCCTTCAGCATATTTCCTCCTATGACTAATGATGTTGGAATGGCTTAGAATAGTCTGGAGTCCAGCGAAGGGGAAGTTGAGTTGAGGATACATTTAATTTGGGTTTAGTGGATATATATTTGTGGCTTAAAGTCATTTTTGTGCAATCTTATGTTATTGCTACTTGATCCAGTATAAGACTACTCCTGCTTCCTAATGCTTCATAATACTTGTCACCTGTAGTATGTGCTGATGGAGGAGAAACAAGATTTGAAATGCATGTGGCCTGTGAAAAATTATTAAAACAAGAATAAATTGGGGATATAACATATATGACCATAAGTGTACCATATATTTTTCAGACTAGAATAATGAAAAATAGACTCAAACAAAATGTCTGTCCTTACAGGACACAAACCGCTTCACAATATTACAATTAGAAAGTATATCTATGGGCCAGGCACGGTGGCTTACGCCTGTAATCCCAGCCCTTCGGGAGGCCAAGGCGGGTGGATCACAAGGTCAGGAGTTCGAGACCAGCCTGACCAACATGGTGAAACACTGTCTCTACTAATAATACAAAAATTAGCCGGGCGTGGTGGTGCATGCCTGTAATCCCAGCTACTCAGGAGACTGAGGTAGGAGAATTGCTTCAATCTGGGAAGCAGAGGTTGCAGTGAGCCGAGATTGCACCACTGCACTCCAGCCTAAGCGTCAGAGCAAGACTCCATCTCAAAAAAAAAAAAAAGAAAGTGTATCTATGGAGGAACTTACAATTTTTATGCACAGCAACATATTAAACCCCATCTTAGAGTATCTGACATCTTGACCTGAAAAAGTCTTGAGGGTTCAGACGAAATGGCATGCAACATTAAATCAATGCAGCAAAACAGTCTGAAAAACATGTCTCTATACCTATCCTCCTCTATCCTCCTATCTATCCCCCTCTATCTACCAATCAACACAAACTAAAGGGTCAATGTACATAGCATAAGAACAATTTGTATAACTACATAGTTCAATACAAAAGAACAGCAATTTTGAAAAATATTTATATCACTCTTGGATATGTTTATTTTCAGATTATGTTTATATTTTTCCAGAGTTACTAATCAATCCAAATAGTCAAACATTATAGGAAGAAAGTATTGTTGTGGAAGCCAAAAATGTAAAATAAAGAAAATTGTCCAAACCTTCAAATTTTCCAAAATTCTTATAGCATAGTAGAGACTAAATACCATGATGGTCAAAATCATGGAAATTAAAAAAAAGAGTCATGCCAAATAATTTAAAAAAACAGATGCTTAAAATACCAACAGAAGAAATAAGACAATTGTAAGAATCAGAACACTCCTAAGCAGAAATCTAAAACAGATGGAATATGAAGTTAAGTGTTTGTAAAGTTAATAGAACATCTACAAAATAACCAACAACCTCAGTTTTACTTCACTAAAAGTGTTGTGATCAGTTGCTAAGGCCTGGTATTATGAGTAATGACTTCGTTCTCCTATACTTAATAAAGTACTGCTTGTACTTTTTAAAATCATGATAAAAATAATATCTACGAAGAATCTAAGTGCATAATACAAGAGGCACAAAATTGATGCTTCTTGAACACACTTTTTATTTTAAAAATATTTTTATTGTGGTAAAATAAACATAACATAACATTTGCCCTTTTAACTACTTTAAATGTACAATTTAGTGACATTAAGTACATTTACAGGTTGTGCAACCATTGCCAGTATCCATTTCCAGAAGTTTTTTATCACTCCACACTTGGTCCTAGCCAAAAGGCCAAGAAGCGATCTTTTTCATCATTCCAAAAGGAAACTCTGTACTCTTTTAAGCAATAACTGTGTCCTGTTCCAGCCTCAGCCCATGGTCAAACACACATTCTTTTTTAAAAAAATACTTTTTATACTTTTAAATTTATACTTAAAAAGAATACTTTTTATACTCTTAGGAATCCTGTCTCTTATATTCCAATACAAAAGTAGTATAAACTTAGAAGAAAATTAAGATTTCACAGAACATAAAATAGTTATGTTTACTTGTTTTACAAATAACCACTTGTCCCATATTAAAGACCTAGCAGAAAAAAAAAAACTTTTTCACCTTTAAGCATAAAAAATATTTGCCTCAGTATCTATTGTCCTATACAGCATGTCTCTTACAATAAAAAACTATGAAGCACACATAAAGACAAGAAAAAAAGAGCACAATCTAAAGAGACAAAACTCCAGACTCAGATATCACATGTGTTGGAACTATTAGAGACTTAAAAAAAATCTATGATTAATATGTTAAACGTACTAATGGAAAAAGTAAGCAACATACAAGTTCAGCTAAATAATTTTATCAATGAGATGAAAACTATAAGAAACAAATCAAATTGAAATGCTAGAAATAAAAAAAAACAGTAATAGAGATGAATAATGACTTCCACATGCTCATCAGATGATTCAAGAAAACCAATAAATCGCAGCGCTTAAAGACAAGTTAATATAACTTACCAAACTGAAATGAAGTGAGGAAAAGAAATTGCAGGGAAAGAGAACCAGAGCATCCAAAAGCTGTAAATAAACATCAAAGGGTCTAACATACATATAATTGGAATCCCAGAAGGAAATAAAAAGAGAATAGGGAAGGATAAATACTTGAAGAAATTATGACTGAATATTCTTCAAAATTGGTGATAGACACAAAACCAAAGATTCAAGTAGTACAGAAAACACCACACAGGATAAATGCCCTCAACAAAGTCTCACCTTAGCATATCATATTTAAATTGCTGAAAATCAAATACAAAGAAAAAAATATTTAAAGCAATCTGAGGGGGAAAATGTATAACCTACAGATCAAGGATAAAAATTATAGCAGACTTGTTCATCAGATATCATACAAGTAAGAGGGCAAGATACTTTAAACTGATGAAAGAAAAATAAAATGTTAACCTAGAATGACATACCCATTGAAAATATTCTTCAAATAAGGAGCAGAAATAGACTTTTTAAAAATTAGAGTCTTGCTCTGTCACCCAGGCTGGAGTGCAGTGGCACAATCATAATTCATTGCAGCCTCAAACTATTGGTTCAATTGATCCTCCATCCTCAGCCTCCCAACTAGCTAGTACTACAGGCGCTCACCACTGTGCCTGGCTAATTTTCTATTTTTTGTAGAGATGAGCATCTTGTTATGCCGCCCAGGAGTCTTGAACTTCTGGTCTCAAGCAATCGTCTGGGCTTAGCCTCCCAAAATGCTGGGATTCCAGGCATGACCCACCACGCCCGGCCAGAAATAGGCTTTTTCAAAGACAAAAACAGATAATTCAATGCCGGGAGACCTACTCTTATGAAAAGTTAAAAGAAGTTCTTTAAATAGATGGAAGATGATCTAGGTCAGAAACTTGGATCTACAAAAAGAAATGAAGAATGTCACCAAAGGAGTGAATAAAAGTATAATGATGTCTTTTTAAAATTGTAATTGTTCTAAAAGATAATTGACTGTTTAAATCAAGAAGATCAAAAAGAGATTATTTGCTAACAGCATGTGTAAAAGTGAAGTGTGTGACAATGGGGCAAGGATTGGGAGGAAAGAATTTTGAAATCCTGTAATCATACAGTTTAAGATTATGCTGTATAAAAACAAATAGAAAACATTTTTTTTTTTTTGAGATGGAGATTTGCTCTTGTTGCCGAGGCTGGAGTGCAATGGTGTGATTTCGGCTCACCGCAACCTCTGCCTCCCTGGTTCAAGCGATTCTCCTGCCTCAGCCTCCCGATTAGCTGGGACTACAGGCATGCGCCACCATGCCCTGCTAATTTTGTATTTTTAGTAGAGATGGGGTTTCTCCATGTTGGTCAGGCTGGTCTCAAATTCCCGACCTCAGGTGATTCGCCTGCCTCAGCCTCCCAAAGTGCTGGGATTACAGGCGTGAGCCACTGCGCCCAGCCTAGAAAACATTTGTTACCAAATTTTAAAACAGTTCTAAAAATTACAATGATTGCCAATAATGAGCTGTAAAGCTAAATATTACCCAAATTATCAGTAATTTTTAAAAGAAAATCTGTCATCCAAAAAGAATCACTCTATTCTCTCTTTTAAAATAAATTCCTTTATTTCAACTAATATTAAAAAATTGTTATCATATAAAGAAGCAGTCAAATGTGTGCAGCTTAAGCATGGAAGAAAAATGTAGGAAAATGGTGCTTTAGCACTTAAATTATGTATTCTTTTGGATTTTTTTTTTTTTTTTGAGATGGAGTCTCACTCTGTCGCCCAGGCTGGAGTGCAGTGGCACGATCTCGGCTCACTGCAACCTCTGCCTCCTGGGTTCACCCCATTCTCCTGCCTCAGCCTCCCAAGTAGCTGGGACTACAGGCACCCACCACCACACCTGGCTAATTTTTTGTGTTTTTAGTAGAGACGGGTTTTCACTGTGTTAGCCACAATGGTCTCAATCTCCTAACCTTGTGATCTGCCTGCCTCGGCCTCCCAAAGTGCTGGGATTACAAGCGTGAGCCACCGTGCCCAGCCTATTTTGGATTTTTTGATGTTTTGATAATTGCCATCAATTTAGTACTGGTGATATATTGTTATTTCTTTTCTCATTTTACATAAATTTTTAACTTTATTCATAATTTAGTGTTTGTCATTTTGTATTATCAAATTTTTGTCCACTTCAGTTTTCACAAAATCTGAATCCATTCCCTGGTTTTAAATAATACTGTATAATTATCTGGTACCTTATAGCTGATTGGCATAAAGTGGAAACTTGCAACAGTAGTACCCAACTTCTCAGAATCCTCTTCATAATTACAAATGGAATAAGGAAAAGCAATCAGCACCTAAATTACTTTTTATGGATCAATACTTCGGATATACAATAAGAATGCAGCATTAAGATATGTTTTTTTTTCCCTCTGCTGTTTAAAAATATCCAAGAGATTATCCAGTGCAACCTTTCCCAATGTTGAGGCCATTCATGCCCAGATCAAGTGACTTTTCTATGTCAGGCCTCTGAGCCCAACCTAAGCCATCATATCCCCTGTGACCTGCACGTATACATCCAGATGACCTGAAGCAACCGAAGATCCACAAAAGAAGTGAAAATAGCCAGTTCCTGCCTTAACTGATGACATTCCACCATTGTGATTTATTCCTGCTCCACCCTAACTGATCAATTGACTTTGTGACAATACACCCTCCCCACCCTTGCAATAATGTACTTTGTGATATTCCCCTGCTCCTGTGAATGTACTTTGTATGATACACCCCCGCTCTGCCCTTGAGAAGGTACTTTGTAATATCCTCCCCTGCCCTTATAAAGGTACTTTGTAATATTCCCCCCACCTTGAGAATGTGCTTTGTAAGATCCACCCCCTGCCCACAAAAAATTGCTCCTAACTCCACTACCTATCCCAAACCTATAAGAACTAATGCTAATCCCACCACTCTTCGCTGACTCTCTTTTTGGATTCAGCCTACCTGCACCCAGGTGATTAAAAAGCTTTATTGCTCACACAAATCCTGTTTGGTGGTCTCTTCACATGGACGCGTATGACATTCTACAGCTAACAGCAGTTGGTGGCAGATGTGAGATGATAATTTCGTTCTCCCAAATTTACATTGCCACTGAAATGAGTCTGGGAAAAACAACAGAATGGAATAGGACTTTCAATGAGAATCCAATGCAACCAAGAGGAAGTGGAGATCTCCAGAAGCAGAGAGGGTAGACCTGTAAGAACCCCAAGGATACCAAACCTGCAGGCATAAATTGTCAAGTTCTGAATGATGTCTTAAGGCGACCTGGTACTTGATTTTGAAGGACTTCCTAAGATAGAAAAAGGTTTTTCTTGTTTTTTTGTTTTTTGAGATGGAGTCTCGCTCTGTCGCCCAGGCTGGAGTGCAGTGGCGTGATCTCGGCTCACTGCAAGCTCCGCCTCCCAGGTTCACGCCATTCTCCTGCCTCAGCCTCCCGAGCAGCTGGGACTACAGGCACCTGCCACCACTCCCGGCTAATTTTTTGTATTTTTAGTAGAGATGGGGTTTCACCATGTTAGCAAGGATGGTCTCGATCTCCTGACCTTGTGATCCGCCCGCTTTGGACTCCCAAAGTGCTGGGATTACAGGCATGAGCCACTGCGCACGGCCAGAAAAAGTTTTAACTTGTAATCTGTCAAATACAAAAGAATTTCCTCTTCAAAGGTTTAGCTTG
The DNA here is from genome assembly GCF_000001405.40 of Homo sapiens. Taxonomy (NCBI): domain Eukaryota; kingdom Metazoa; phylum Chordata; class Mammalia; order Primates; family Hominidae; genus Homo; species Homo sapiens. The sequence goes on along the minus strand of NC_000001.11, from coordinate 238,275,464 downwards.
TTCAGTGTCCTTGTTCTTTGTTCCCTACTTGCAAGGCCAAACTAACTTCCTTATCCTTTGTGCCTCCTGTCTTGGTTTCACAGTAAACAACTTTCCTGCCAATCCTTATCTACAGAGCCCACATCTGCTACCCACTCTGTAAATTACCTCTCCCACCAAAACTGCCCTTCCCGCCAGTGTAACTACATTCCTGCACCTTTCAAGTTAGCCTGTTGAGTTCAGCTTAGATTGTGCAGTCCAACTCCAGCCAGTGGATGCAGGATGCAGTGGTAGAGACAAGCTGAGTTAGGAATAAAAAACCCCTTCCCTCCTTTGTTCCGTGTGTTCTCGTGGCGACCAAGCTTGCAAGTAACACCCTTCTAGAGAAGTAAGTTTGCCTTGCTGAGAAATCCTTTGTTTAAGTGTTTGTTTTCTTTGTGACTCCAAGCCTTATTTCGAACATAATCCTTCAGAGTTGCCCATTAAATGAGTTCAGCTTGCCCATAAGCATGCCCTCTAGGAACATTTGAAAACTGCTACATGAGAAACCTTCAGCCCTGGCACCAACCTAAGTCACCTCTCTTGCTCCACTACAACGCCCTTACCCCTGGCCCTGGCGGCTCACCCACACTTGCCACCGTATTTCTACTGAATTCACATGATTTATTTTCCTGCTACAACAACAGCTCAGTTTAGACTCAATTTCTTGTGTAACCACAAAACTTCCCTTAGCAAGAGACATGCTCTCTCTTCAATCTTGAGGAAATAATTTGCTACATCCATTTTTTTCTCTGGTTCCCCTACTTCAAAGCAGTGAGTTAAACAAGAATAAATAAAATGTGGCCCTGAGATCGTGTCTATTGTGACTAGCAGAAGATCTATAATTTTAATAAAACTGGATGCATTTGAACAATCTATGAATTTTTACCATTTCTCTGAGTCTGGAATCTAATCTGTCAGTTTCCTGTAGTTACTCAGATTCTGTCAATACCCAAAGAAGAACTTTGACTGAATATCAGTTATGTTCCAATCCAAATGTAGAAATCAGCACAATCAGGACTTTTGAAAGTTCTTGAAATAATCTGATATCTGACAAACTGTTATAACTAAATATCAGTGCCAACACAAGATTTTTGCAAAAGTTTATGAACACACCCAGTACTTTTTAACATACTTAATATAACATCCCCTACCCGATGGGATGAAAACCAACCCCCATCTAAGAAACAAATTATAACACTTTACCTTTTGTGTTCAAACTCTTAAAAATAAGGTCTCAGAAAAATCGTCTTCCATTGCTTTCCATAGGGTTAGAAGTTTATTCACACAAGGGTCAAAAATATTTTTTGATTTTTATTTCTAACTGACAAATCATAGCTGTATATCTTTATGGGGTACAATGTGATGTTTTGATTGTTGAAATACAAAAAGCCTCCTTCTAAAGTGATACTAAATAATGCCTAAATGAGTTTTTCTAAACTTGTGCCAGCTTTGTTTAATCAGACAAATAAGTACAAGTTATTTATACCATTTTTAATATAAATAATTCAAGATTTTTACTTTTCTCTCCCTTTATGTCACTACTAATACACTAGAAATAATAATAACAATAGTACATGGCTAGGACTATTTAAATAATAATACTCTTTAACTTACATTTTTGTTACCTATTATATGCTGGGACCAATAGATGTATCATATATATATATATATATATATATATATATATATATATATATCTCATAATGTCTAGCTGGTATGTATTATAATCCCATATTAATGTTAGAATTATGGCTCATAAAGATGAAGTGATTTTTTGTAATCATGAGTAGAACAAAACTTTATTTTTGCCTAAAATAATGTTGGCACACATTAGGATTACCATAAATATTTGCTTAATGAATAAATTAACATGAATAAACCCAGGCTGTCTGTTGCTAAAGCATATACCTTTTTCCTATACTGTGTTCAGCTTTATCCTCTTTTGTTTAAAAATCATTTAAACAGTCAAGTGGTAAAATTGGAGCATAATTCTAAATAAAACAAGGAAGGTGTAGGGATGGGTGACTCATTCCAAAAGTATTCTAATTTCCAGTATCATAATCAAAATACATTCAATTCATACCCATATTCATCAAGGAAACTAGAAACTATAATTTGATGCCATCAGCAAACCGTGAGCACCAGGCCACACGGCCGCACACCAACAGAGAACAGAGTGCCGAATGTCCCTGAGTCTCATCTCCCAGCTCAGGAACCGCACTGTTGAGCCACTATTACCCATATGTGTAATGGCATAAATACTGCCATTACCGAGATCCACAGAGCAGCCATTTACAGCTCTCACAGAGAAGAGGGGGCATAATTCAGGAGGCTACACCTTTTTCTTGAGTCAGGAACCTTTCCTCCTCCTGTGGCCGCAGCTATTAGTGAGGGAACTTGGCAATAGTGAAGAGGGTTACCAGGTCTTCCACCTGTGTGCTACTCAGCTAGATCAACAACACAGCATATGCCCAGGCGCAGTGGCTCACGCCTGTAATCCCAGCACTTGGGGAGGCCGAGGCGGGTGGATCACCTGAGGTCAGGAATTTGAGACGAGCCTGCCAACATGGTGAAACCCCGTCTCTACTGAAAATACAAAAATTAGCCAGGCATGGTGGCGGGTGCCTGCAATCCCAGCTACTCAGTAGGCTGAGGCAGGAGAATCGCTTGAACCCAGGAGGCAGAGGTTACAGTAAGCTGAGATCCTTCCATTGCACTCCAGCCTGCGTGACAGAGAGAGTCTCCGTCTCAAAAAAAAAAAAAAGAAAAGAAAAGAAAAGAAAAAGAAAATAGCATACAACGATCAGCACCAATAAAAATGGTTTTCCACACTGACAATGCTTTTAGGTTAAATTGAAATGTACCCATTGAAACTGACCCACTCTAATTTAAATGATTCTGTTATGGACAGTATTGGTGCTCTCTCTCTGTATGGATGGTTGGGAAGCTGGAAGACCTTGTTATTCTCAGTTTCCTTCATGGACATAGAGTACCCTCAGAGGACCGAGTAACTGACAGGTCTCCTGGGTGGCCCAGAGTTCTGCTGACATAAGAGAGAATTAATCAATACGCGTCACAGGTAAACAAAGATTCTCAACTCTCTTACATTTTGAAATGACAATTTTTTACTCTAAGGAGAAAACATTAGGCAGTTTTGTTCTCTGCCAGCTATAAATAGTGCTATCAAGACTATGAATATGACAAGATGATCATGCATTGATGGGATGGTAATTTTCTCTAATGTTGTGAGGAGTTTTCACCATATAGAAAATTTGTCTCTTCCAATTCATTCTAAAATATTATTTTTAAAGGGAGAGAGAAGTATAGGCATTATCTTGTTTAGTAACAGTCACAAGTATTTTACAGTTGCCGAAATGTACCATATTTTTATAAGAATTTTTCATTTTATAAATAATGTTAGTTATTCTGTCACTCAAGGCATAACTACTGAAAATTGGTAAGCTGCAAAGGTAATGGCTATTTCTATTGTAAGAGTCAAATTAAGATGTCACAGATGAAAATATTGTTTTTAGGGAATGTAGAAATATGAAAGAAACCTGAAATCTCTATCAAAGGTAGAAACATTTTAAAATAAGAAACAAAGGATAAAAAACATTTTTTCTTTCATATATTTATTTCCATTTGTTATTCTGAAATGTAAAAGTGGAACACAAAAATGGGTTATGTGTTATGATTTTCCCATTTTTTAGTCTAAATATTTTAGAATTTAATCTAGGTGTCATGGCATTGCATGAAAATAGACTGTAAATATATTAAGCCTTTTGGGGACCCTGGTTGTGTAGGAAACAGTCTCAAACACACACATGAAGAAGCATTTATTAGGAATCAAGTTCTGTGTGTGTGCATGCAAGCATGCCTTTCCATGCGGTGATATGGCCAGTAGACCTAGAAATGTTTCCCTCTCCTTCCAGTTCCCTCTTCTCCCCTCAGCATTCTAAAAAGCTATGGGGGAACAACAGTAGCACTATAAACACCAAGTGACCGCTGTGTTTACTGCTGTGACATGCCTGAGGATATAGTAGACAACCTTATGTGCATTGAGAATACATCATAGGTCTAAGGGGAGCTTGCTGCCTCCTTGCTATGGATGCATCCAGGCCTGACTAGACTCAAGGACAACATGGGAGGGGTTAATAATCCTGACACATGGATTGAAAACAGACAGGATACCCATGTGGTTAGCCACGTGGATTCTAAAGGCAGATTAGGCAATTAGGCAACATATTGTGTGACCTTCAACAAGTAAGTTACTGGCACTTTTTCCTTGGTTTCCCCAACCACAAAATAGGGATAAAAAGCATACCTACCTTATACCTACCTAAAAATTATACCTACATTAACTTTGTAACAACTAAAGGAGTTAACATTTATAAAAGGTCCAGAACAGTGATTAACATGTAGTGAGCACTATGCAAGTATTTGCTAGTAGCAGTGGTATTAATAGTAGTGATACTGGTGGCAGTAGTAATAGTATTAGTAGTATTAGAGTGTGGTTCTGTGACTTTCCAGGCACAGTGATCTCATTCGCTGAAACTTATGTCAATCAGAACTTGAGTTTTAATAGATCATATTTACAGCCTTTCTCCTTTGAGGATAGAGCTAGAAAGGATATATCACACTGGCCTAAAGGAGAGGTCAAAAGTTTCTAAGAATATTCACAAATTCACCTTTTTAGAAAATGTCACTGAGGGTCCTCTATGTCCCCGACAATTTATTTGAAGCTGAGGATATAATAATAGAGAAGATACCAGCCAACATTGATGAACTTGGTTTTCAAAACTGTAATCCAAAAGGCCACAGAGAAATTTTTTTAGAAACTTTATCCGTCTGGGCGCGGTGGCTCACACCTATAATCCCAGCACTTTGGGAGGCTGAGGCAGGCAGATCACGAGGTCAGGAGTTCAAGAACAGCCTGACCAACATGGTGAAATTCTGTGTCTACTAAAAATACAAAAATTAGTCGGGCATGCTGGCGAGCACCTGTAATCCCAGCTACTCGGGAGGCTGCGGCAGGAGAATCGCTTGAACCCAGGAGGTGGAAGTTGCAGTGAGCCAAGATTGAGCCATTGCACTCCAGCCTGGGCTGGGCAAGAGAGCGAGACTCTGTCTCAAAAAAAACAAAAAAAAACAAAAAAAAAACAAGAAAACCTTATCCATACATTTAATAGATAGACGACATAGATATAGGGGTTAGAGATTCATAGAAGGATTCCTGCCTTCAAGAAGCTTAGGTATGACAAATTAGTTGTCATCATTGCTCTTGATATGCCTTAGGAGGTAGGGGAGCTAGTAAATAGAAAAATAAATACATAAAAAGCATGTGTTCAAAAATTAGTTCAATATCAATTTGACAAAGAAACTAAAAATTCATTAAATACCATTAAGATAACATAAAGTAGGCAGAAATTAATCATCACATGGGACTGTAATCCTTCATGGTACTGTGTGGTGTCATTCATTCAGCATTTATATATACATATTGTCACTATGGGCCAGGCACTTGTCTAGTTTCTTGTGAATTACAGCACTGCAAAACACAGATGAACAAGTGAGTAAAAAATAGAATACATCAAATGTGATAAGTACTATGAGAAAAATAGAGCAGAGAAAGTGCTGATATAATACCCGAAATCCACTTCAAACAAAGGTTTATGTAATCAAGAAAAAGCGTCCTTTTGCAAAAAGTTTGCAATTGCCTACCTTATCTAGAATTACCACAGCAACCCACATTCTACAAAAAATACAAAATTAGATAATATTATCAGGATATAACTGAAAAGCCCACCTGTAAAGTGTCTTTTACTTCCAATTTTGAGATTTTGATTCTTGATTCACTTTATGGGTTCTTGACATAGTGTTATATGTAGCACTCCTGTGAGAGGAGTTAACACAACAAGGCCTGAGAAACCTGTTTAGAAAGTCTTCCTTTCTGAGAAACCTATTTAGAAAGTCTTCCTTTGCCGGCAAGATTAGCCCTTGGCTAATGTCTGAGTACTTTGATTTCAGAAAAGTTCCCAAGTTCTAACCTATGAGAATGACACCTACCATATATACATATATAAACTGTTAGTGCGAACAATGTGGTTTGTGTTGCACACTGCCTTCTTTCTGGGAGTCTAGATGTCTCCTTCTGGAAGTCTTGGAATGCTTCCAAGGGTGCCTACACAACCAGTTTCCCCAAGAGAAAACCCTTCACATGTGTTGTCACAATTCAGGGTTTGAAGATGTAAGCATGATCTTTATGACTGCACTGGGAGAGGACTCTTAGAAGCGTGCACCTGGCCAGCCACGGTGGCTCATGCCTGTAATCCCAGCACTTTGGGAGGCCGAGGTGGGTGAATCATGAGGTCACAAGATTGAGACCAGCCTGACCAACATGGTGAAACCCCGTCTCTACTAAAAATAGAAAAAGTAGCTGGGCGTAGTGGCACGCGCCTGTAATCCCAGCTACTCAGGGGGCTGAGGCAGGAGAATCGCTTGAACCTGGGAAGCGGAGGTTGCAGCGAGCCAAGATTGCACCACTGCACTCCAGCCTGGTGACGGAGCAAGACTCTGTCTCAAAAAAAAAAAAAAAGAAAGAAAAAAAAGAAAAAAAAAGAAGCATGCACCTAATTTCCTCCAGAATTTCCCCATACGCCTTTTCTCTTTGCTGATTTTGCTTTGTGTCTTTTCACGTAATAAATCTTAGCCATGAGTATGACTATATGCAGCATCCTGTGACTTTTTCCAGTGAATCACCAAACCTGGGGGTGATCTTAAGGCCCCCAACACAACTCCCCACATGCATATAAGCTTTCTCTGCAAGTTGGCAAAAAGAGAATTGTGATAATATGGAACACATCACCTGCCACCTGAAGATCACTCTAGCTGAGCAGAACCCAGAAAAACTCAACAAAGCCTGTTCCTTCAGCAAGCCTTCCAACAGCTGGACATTATGGGAGTAATATAAGTAACACTTATAATGGTCCTAGCATATAATAGGTAATAGAAATATATGTTAAAGTGTATTATTATGTAAATAGCAAAGAGAGACAATTTGACTCTGGCTAGGAATTCCAGTGCTATGTTGAACAGAAGTGGTAAGAGTGAGCGTAATTGTCTTGTTCCAGTTAGTAAGGGGAATGCTTCCAGCTTTTGCCCATTCAGTATAATCTTGGCTATGAGTTTGTCATAGATGGCTCTTATTATTTTGAGGTATGTTCTTTCTATGCCTAGTTTGTTGAGGGTTTTTTCTTTTATCATAAAAGGATGTTGCATTTTATGAAAAGCATTTTCTGCATCTATTGAGATGATCATATGATTTGTTTTTAATTGTTTACGTGGTGAATCACATTTTTTTTTTTTTGAGATGGATTTTCGTTTTTGTTGCCCAGGCTGGAATGCAGTGGCATGATCTCAGCTCACTGCAAACTCTGCCTCCCAGGTTCAAGCAATTCTCCTGCCTCAGCCTCCCAAGTAGCTGGGATTACAGGCATCTGCCACCACGCCCAGCTAATTTTTGTATTTTTAGTAGAGACAGGGTTTCACCATGTTGGCCAGGCTGGTCTCAAACTTCTGACCTTAAGTGATCCACCTGCCTAAAAAAAGTGCTGGGATTACAGGTGTCAGCAACTGTGCCTGGCCCACATTTATTGATTTACGTATGTTGACCCAACCATGCATCCCAGGAATAAAGCCTACTTGACCGTGGTGAATTACCTTTTTGATATGCTGCTGGATTTGTTTTGCTAGTATTTTGTTGAGAATTTTTGCATCTACGTTCATCAAGGATATTGGCCTGTAGTTTTCTATGTTTGTTGTCTCTGGCAGATTTTGGTATCGGAGTGATGCTGGCTCTGTAGAATGAGTTAGAAAGAAGTCCCTCCTCCTCAGAGTTTTGGAATAGATTCAATAGAATTGGTACCAGCTCTTTTTTGTATGTCTTGTAGAATTAAGCTGTGAATCTAAAGCTCTTTTCTTTATAAATGACTCAGGCTCAGATATTACTTTATAATATTGCGGATATGGACTAATGCAGTGAATTGCTAGGCTGGAAGCCCAAACTGGCTTGGAGCAGCAGAAATGGGGCCATGGCATGGTCTTCCACCCAGGTAGTTCCCGAGGGAGCACAGAGCTGTGCCCACCCTCAGAGATTAGGCAGAGCTGGTCCCTGTGCTGGAAGCTTGAGCGGAGCCTTGCCTAGCAACGAGGAATAAGGCACCATGACTACGGCCTCTAGTGAGAATATGGCAGCTGGCGCTGGGCTGCTCAGAGATCCAGGACCTGTGAGGCTCCACATGGGACTGAGCAGTGCCTCTGCAAAAACTCCAGGAGGCTCTCTGTGTCAGTCTAGAGGCCCAGGGTTGTCGGAGGGATCTCCCATGTCCAGGATTTTGAAGAACCACGTGGGGACGTGTGGATCCCCTGGGGACTCTCACTCGCCCTTTCCACATTTGAGAAAGATTCTTAATGCTGTTCCCAGAAGGGTGGCTGCCAGCTTCGCTCCTTTCTATTCTCTGTGGATCCCCTGATTCCTCGGTGAATCTCAACATGGTCTCCAGACGATCCACTTTAAGAGTCACTACTTATTGGCAACTTTGTTTCCTCTCCATGAGGGTGGCCCACACTATCTGCTTCTAGTCAGCCATATTGAACTCTCCCCTGTGTTTTCTATTTAATGCTAGGATTTCACTAGATATTTAAAGATAAATAACAGACATAGCACTCTTGACTTCAATTACCTTATAATTTTAATGGAAAGGGAATAAACAAACCCCAAAACTCCATCAATAGAAAAGTTTAAATATGTGTAGGTTTTCATGGTTTTACCTAACACAGCCTAGAGAACTGAGAAAAGGACTTTCTATTGAGGATATACATGTATAGTGTCTTACCAAATAACAAATAGAAAAAATATTTAAAATACATAAAAAACATAAAATATTCAATTTCAAGATATATAAAATAACAAATTTGGTAATTATTACCATATATAAGTATTTAATAGTCAAAGCAATGAGTGGTTGTTTGGACGTGCCCATATGAATTAATTTTGGCTGCCTTATTTTGTAAATGTCACAAGTATATAAATATACACAAATATACAAAGTTTAACTCTGACAATGCATACCAATCTGAAATGAAAATAAGGAAGGATATTTCCTGATTTGTTTGCAATTTTTTACAAAGAAACTAGAGTGAGTCATCAATTACATTACCAGATGTGGATTCTGAGACAAAAACTCACATAATTTTCTACAAATGGCAATAATTTGGTTCAAAAAATTAAGGATATTTAAAATTTTGCATCTGATTTGCATCTCTGAAATCATTATGACTATTGCAGCAAAAAGAATATCGTGTTCTATGAAAATAGCTGGATGTGAAATAAAGGAAGTCCCAGGCCATGGTCAACTACCAACCACAGATTTCAAAATGATTGAAACCACCAGAGAGAACCTTTGCAAGATCCATGTACCATGTCTAGTCTTCTGAAAACTCTTATTTGGTTCTAATTCAAGGTAAAGACAAAGTGAGATACTTTAGTACATTTTTATATGAGCTTTTTGCATGCTAATGTATTTCTAATACACAATTTTCTCTTTAAAATGTTTTTAATGTGGTAAAATATATATAACATGACGTGCCATTTGAACTATTTTTAAGCATACAATTTAGTGGCATTAAGTACATTCACTATGTTATGCAACCATCACTACTATCTATTTTCAAAACTTTTTCATTACCCCAGACAGAAATCCTGTCATCCTTAATTAATTACTCCCCATCCTCCCCTCGTTACAGTCCCTGCAAACTTTGATTCTACTAAGAGTCTCAGAATTCGCCTGTTATAGATATGTCTTACAAGTGGAATATGATATTTATCCTTTTGTCTGGCTTCTTTCATTTTCACTTGTTTTAAAGATTTGTCCATGTTGTAGCATATATCAGGACTTCATTCCTTTATGTGGCTGAATAATATTCCATTTTATAGATATACTACATTTTGTTTATCCATTCAATTGTTGATAGAATTAGGGTGCTTTCCATCTTTTAACTATTGTGTCTAATGTTGCAATGAACATTAGTATACAATTATCTCTTTAAGTCCTGTTTTCAATTCTTGTGGCTAGATACTTAGGAGTGGAATTGCTGGGTCTTCTGGTAATTCTGTTTAGCTTTTTCACCAGCAGTATATGAAGTTCCTAATTTCTCCACATCCTTGTCAACAGTTGTTACATTTCATTTCTTTTTTTTTTTAAATTACAGTCATCAGAGTGTGTGTGAAATGGTAGCTCATTGTGGTTTTGATTTCCATTTTCCTAATGACTAATGAGTGCTTCTCATGTGCTTATTGGCCATTTGTGTATCTTCTTTGGAGAAATTTCTATTAAGTCCTTTGCCTATTTTGTAGTTGGCTTGTTTATCTTTTTGTTGTTTAGTTTTAGCAGTCTTCATATATTCCAGGTATTAAGCCCTTATAAGATATGATTTGCAATACATCCCCCCGATTCTGTTGAATGCCTCTACTTTCTTGAGAATGTCCTGTTATGCAAAAAAGTTTTAAAGTTTGGTAAAAATCAAATTCATCTACTTTTTCTTTTGTTTTTCATGTTTTTGGCATTATATCAAATAATTCATTTCCAAATAGAAAGTCATGAAGATTTACTCCTATGACTTCTTCTAAGATTTTTATGGATTTAGCTCCTATGTCTTTAACTTGTTCATGTATTTTGAGTTAATTTTTGTACATAAGATGTGCTAGCAGTCAGCAACTTTCTTTACTGCTAGTGTACATCTCTACCAACACACTGTGTGCCAGAGACCCTTTAAGACTTTAAAATGGGAATCATACTTGTGTCCTCTTTTTCCTCAGGAGCATTTTAAGACATAAAGAAATAATATATCTGAATTAATTTTTTCTTTGACATAATTATCCATGTATAAATTGTTATCTTATACCATGTCTCACTAGAGGCAAATTTCTTTCATGAAATTAATGAAGCTTAGACTCAGGACCACAAGCTTTTATAGGCTCCTTCTAACACCCTGGGAAAGATCTTAGCACTACATTCCATGCTCACATATATTTGTAAAGTTTGCAAATGTAAAATAACTTTCTGCGATTGACTAACACTGCAGTTTCTTTCCACTCACACTTTCCCTGATACACTTACCTCATATTAAGTGGCCTTGAAATGGTCACAAGCATTTTTTTAAATCCAGCTAAGTAAAGCAGAAAATACACCATATAAACTACAATTTAGAAAGACATTTAGGTATTTCAATTTGTGTGGGTTTTTTTTTTGTTTTGTTTTGTTTTTTGAGACGGAGTCTCGCTCAGTCACCCAGGCTGGAATACAGTGGCGTGATCTCAGCTCACTGCAAGCTCAGCTTCCCAGGTTCATGCCATTCTCCTGCCTCAGCCTCCTGAGTAGTTGGGACTACAGGCGCCCGCCATCACGCCCGGCTAATTTTTTTCTTGTATTTTTAGTAGAGATGGGGTTTCACCGTGTTAGGCAGGATGGTCTCGATCTCCTGACCTCATGATCCGCCCGTCTCAGCCTCCCATAGTGCTGGGATTACTGGCATGAGCCACCACCACGCCCGAACCAAAGAAATTAAAGGCCAGGTGAGGGGGCTCACACCTGTAATCCCAGCACTTTGGGAGGCTGAGGCGGGTGGATCATGAGGTCAGGAGTTCAAGACCAGCCTGGCCAATATGGTGAAACCCTGTCTCTAGTAAAAATACAAAAATTAGCTGGGCATGGTGGTGCGTGCTTGTAATCCCAGCTCCTTGGGAGGCTGAGGGAGGAGAATTGCTTGAACCAGAACCCGGGAGGTGGAGGCTGCAGTGAGCCGAGATCACGGATGGCATTGCACTCCAGCCTGGGCTACAGAGTGAGACTCCATCTCAGAAAAAAGTAAAAATAAAAATCAAGTAAAAAAAGAAATTAAAGACTTCTGTGAAAGTACCTTCTTTTGCCATCCTTACATTTATTTATTAAAGAACAAAAACAATATTTTGATAAAAATGTAATGTGAAATTAAGGTAACAAGGATGAGTGATGAAATTAAAATAAATGGTTTGATAGCAAGAAGCTAATTATAACAAAAAAAATTTTCGGGTTTTGCCAAAAACAATAATTCATTAAAAAGAAGAGATAAATTGTGAACCAAAGTAATGAAGAAGCTTTTGACTTATTCCACAAGTCCAATTAATGGAGAGAAATGAGTCATATGATCACAGTGGAAATTTTAATTTTCAATACCGACTGAAGAAAATAACATAAAATGTATAATATATCTCTATAATGAGGGTATTAATGATAAACTTGAAATGTAGATAATTCAAAGACTATTTGAGAGTGTTCTCTGTACAAAAACTTGAAATGCCTTGAAACCTCTTACTCTTCATATATAAAAGAAACTTGATACATGTTTTCCCAAATTTGACAGCAATCCCAAAAATTAACTTGACACCACTAATACTGAGTTGTTAGGGTGAAAATTTTCTCAATTATCACTAGTGAAAAAATAATTGATAAACCATGTTAAAGACTGATTTTATTCTCTCCACTTTATTTTTGTTTTTGTTTTTTTGAGATGGAGTCTTGCTCTGTCACCCAGGCTGGAGTGAAGTGGCACGATCTCGGCTCACTGCAACCTCCTCCTCCTGGGTTCAAGTGATTCTCCTGCCTCAGCCTCCCAAGTTACTGGGATTACAGGCACTTGCCTCCACGGCCCTGCTAATTTTTGTATTTTTAGTAGAGATGGGGTTTTTCCATGTTGTCCAGAGTGGTCTCAAACTCCCAACCTCAGGTGATCCACACGCCTTGGCCTCCCAAAGTGCTGTGATTACAGGTGTGAGCCACCACACCCAGCGTATTCTCTCTACTAAAAATAGTACCACAGCATCATTGTCACATGAAGTGGCCAATAAAATTCTTGCACTCCAGAAATGTAGAAAAAAGTACATAGAGATAAGTTAGGCATTTGATCAAATTATGTTATTTTTCTGAATTTTATGTTTGTGGAATTAGGCAGCTTTCCAAAATTTGCAATTTCATTTGAATTTTCTTTTATATAAATAAATATTTGCTTCTTCTATGTTTAATTTTATATTTTTTTAAATATTTGTATAGAGGACCCTCAAATTTTTATTTCAGGACCCACAAATTCTGTCTTCCTATGTCTTCCCCTGGCTTGCTTGCTTGCTTGCTTCCTTCCTTCCCTCTTGAGATGGAGTCTCACTGTGTCATCCAGGCTGGAGTGCAGTGGCACCATCTCGGCTCACTGCAACCTCTGCCTCCCAGGTTCAAGTGATTCTCCTGCCTCAGCCTCCCAAGTAGATGGGATTACAGGCACACACCACCACACCCAGCTACTTTTTTTAATAGTTTTGGTAGAGATGGGGTGGCCATCTGGTCATGAGATGGTGGTGGCCAGGCTGGTCTCAAACTCCTGACCTCGTGATCTGCCTGCCTCGGCCTCCCAAAGTGCTGGGATCACAGGCATGAGCCACTGCACCCAGCCTCCCCTGGCTTTCTTAATAAATACAACTAATTGAAAATGAACAGTAAGTGTTTGTGTGATACGTACTTGTGGGTATGGGTATATGAATGTGAGAAAAAGAAAGAAAGAACCAGAAAAAAAAAACTGAAAAAAAGTCTTTGGTCCAGGGAATAAGGTCTAGAATGTCTGCAATTCTGGGAAACATATTTGTTTTCTCCAGCAGATTATCCAAAGGAAACAAGAAAGAAAGTGAAAAGATGACCAAGAACAAAGAGAATAAAAAAGGGCCAGTGAGGGAAAGAAAAGGAGGAGAACGTGGGAGTAGGGAAGAAAGAGGGAGATATTGACAGTCCATGAGATTTCTTCTGGCTAAACACAAAAGCCTGTACACGGTTCAGCGAGAATGATCTGTCTAGGAGAAGATACAAACTTATAGTGTTGGAAAAGACTGAAGTAAATGCATTCAGTGGAAATCTGGAAAAATTTGTGAGATATAAGATGTAAATTAAGGAAGTATGTTCCAGTTTTCCTAAGCTGCATGAGAAAAGAATTTGCCATGAGAATCTATGGGTGAAATGAGTAGATTTTGATGGCTAATGTTGCTCAGGGAATCCCAGGCTAATATTCAAATACATTATTCATGTATTATTTTGTGTAATATAATGCATTTGTACATCTTTTAAGAATTATGGATCTGTATTTTAATTTTTCTGGATATTCTGGGGAAGAGGATTTTATCAGTGCAAGAATATTACATGATTCAAATTATTGGAGAAATTTATGTAATCATGCACTACAAATCCACAGCCATAAACACACACTTTTTGTATATACATATTTATTGTGTCTTAGTCTATTCCTGTTGCTATAACAAAATACCAGGGACTAGTTAATATATAAATAATGGAAATTGGCTGGGCGTGGTGGTTCATGCCTGTAATCCCAGCACTTTTGGAGGCCGAAGCGGGTGGCTCACGAGGTGAGGAGTTCAAGACCAGCCTGGCCAAGATGGTGAAACTCCATCTCTACTAAAAATACAAAATTAGCCAGGTGTGGTGGCAGGCGCCTGTAATCCCAGCTACTCAGGAGGCTGAGGCAGGAGAATCGCTTGAACCTGGGCAGCAGAGGTTGCAGTGAGCTGAGATTGCACCTCTGTACCCCATCCTGAGCGACAGAGTGAGACTCTGTCTCAAAAAATAAAATAAAATAAAATAAATAATGGAAATTTATGTCTCAGAGTTCTAGAGGCTGGAAAGTTCAAGATTAAGGTACCTGCAGATTCTGGTAAGGGCTTTTTCTCTGCTTCTGAGATGGTATCTTCTTGCCGGGTCTGCACATGGCAGAAGGGGCAAGCTCTGTGTCCTCACATGGTGAAAGAGGGGAAGCAAAGGACAAAAGGCACTTGGGTACCCTCTTCAACTTCTTTTAAAAGACTCCATCCCTTAATACTATGGCTTTGGGTTTTTGGTTCCAACCTATAAATTTGAGGTAGACACATACATTTAAACCACAGCATTCTGCCTCTGGCATCCCAAAATTCATGTCCTTCTCACATGCAAAACACATTGATTCCATCCCAATGGCCCCCAAAGTCTTAACTTGTTGTAGCAGCAACTCAAATGTCAAAAGTCCAGAGTGTCATCTAAATATCATCCAAATCAGGTATGAGTGAGATTCAAGGTATGATTCGTCCTGAGACATATGCTCTACCTGTGAATTCAACAAGCTATTGCTTTCAAAATGTAATGGTGGACAGGCATAGAATAGACATTCTTATTTCAAAAGGAAGAAATAGGGAAGAAGAAAGGGGAAACAGGTCCCAAATAAGCCTAAAACCCAACACAGCAAACATTATTAAATCTGGAGGCTTGAGAATAATCTTTAACCCCATGTCGTGCTTTTTAGATACACTAGGGCAGGAGTTTGGTCCCCAAGGCTCTGAGTGGCCCCATCTCTATGGCTTTGCTGGGTGCAGCCCCTACAGCAGATCTCATGCATTCTCGTCATATGCTTGCCGCTCTCCCAGGTTGAAATTGCACACTGGTGCCTCTTCAGTTCTCAGGGATCAGGGGCAGCCCCACTCCCATGGCTTCACTAAACATTGCCCCCGCTCCCATGACTCCTCTGGGCCGTGTCCTGGTGGGGACCCTCTTTGGCAGCTCCATGCCTACGGCAGTTCTCTGCCCGGGCCCCTGAGGCTCTCAGAGACATTCTTTGAAATCTAGGTAGAGACAGCCATGCCTCCACAGCTCGTGCACTCTGAGTGCCTGAAGAGTTAGCAACACATGGACACCACCAAGGTTTACCAACTGTGCCTTCTAGAGTGGTTGCCCAAGCTGCACCTGGGCACACTTATGCCAAAACTGGGGTTGCTAAGGAACGCTGCATCAGAAGGCAGGGGGCAGAGCCCAGAAGCAGCTAGAGGCAGCAAGCTTCAAGGTCCCACAAGGCTCCCTGGGCCTCACCTTTGAAACTGTTCTGCTCTCAAGGCCCTGGAACTCTGGGCCTGAGATGGGAGTGGGAATCTCAAAGATCTCTGCAATACCTTCAGAGCTATTCCTGCCTTTGTCTTGATGAATAGCATCTGGCTTCCTTCTGTGCATACTCATCTTCTTATCAAATGGCAGCTTGATGATTCAAAACATCATCAAATGTAGAAAATATACAACATGATTAATACAAAACTTTCTTGTGTTCTTTGTAGTACTACATCATATTCATCACTGGACTGTACCGGTTATAGGCAATTTAGGGCCTGTTATTAAGATGACTGAATGTATAATTTCATCTCCATATTATCTAATTTATTGCCTCCTCTACCCACAAATGAGAAAAACAAACAAACAAAAACAGCCAATTCTCTTGGCATTTTAGTTGATTAATTTGGCAAGGCCAATCATTGTCTGCTTTGGTTTTAGCTTTTAGTGTGTAAAGTATAATTCCACAAAATTCAGCTGAATATTTCTAGTACACCATAGCTGAAGTCATACAGCAAAAGGAATCCCCCAGAAGGGAACTGATAATAGAGCCCCAGCAGCCATTTTTACAACTGAATTTTTGGTACTTGTGATGGTCAATTTCATTTATGTGTCAGCTTCACTGGGTCACTGGGTGTCCAGATATTGAAATGTTATTCTGGGTGTTTCTTTGAGAATGTTGTTGGAAGAGATTGACATTTGAATCAGTAGACTGAGTAAAGCAGATTATACTGTCTAAGGTGGGTGGGCCTCATCCAATCAGTGGAAGGCTTGAATAGAACAAAAGGACTGACCCTCCCCAAAGTAAGAGAGAAATGTTTCTAATGTCCTTTGACCTAGGACATGGGCTTTTCTCCTGCCTTAGCACTTGAACTGAAACACAGTATCTCTTGGATCTTCAGCTGGCTGACTCACCCTGCAGATCTTGGGCCTTGCCAGCCTCCACAATGGAACCTTATTAAAAACTGATTCCTTATTTTATATATATAAGGGCATTTTATATATATATATATATATAATATGTTTTATATGTGTATATTTTATATATAATACATATTATACATTAAAATGTATATGTATTATACAAAATATATTATACAATATATGTCATATATATGATACATATTGATTCCACTTCTAGGGAGAGCCCTGGTTAACACAGTCATACTAAGGATTTATCCCTCATGGAACTAATGATGAGTAGATTCCCCTAGCTTTGTCATCTGTGGACTCAAATTTCTATTAAGATACCTCCCAAATCTAGGGTTTGACGGCAATTAACTGTATAATTGCCAAGTAAAAGGTAGATTTAAAAAATCTGTTAAAAATTTCATTAAGGAAACAGCACCAATATTAATAAGTAAAATTACAGATTCCTACGTTTTAGAACAAACGATGTGAATTCGCATTTACAAATGCCCTCAAAGACACGCCAGTCAGTGATCTTCCTGGTAATAATCATAAGATTGTTTATATAGTATAAGCAAAAATACGGTACTGTTGTTTTTAATGGGTTACAAATATCTATTGAGCCTAAGAGTTGATAAACTGAATAAATATGTCACTTTCATGCCAAACCTCATGGTTGAATATGTGGAAGGGAATATCAGAATCATCACACCAGTGAAAGACACATTGGAAGCTGCCCAAGAGATAACGATCATGGCTAGAAAGACAGTAAAAGACATGCAGAATCGGAGTGAGAAGCAAGTGCCATTATATAGAAGATAAACGTTTTAGGTGTTAGAATGAACATTACAGCTATGGAAGACAGACATGAGAGCTCATATAAACAAAATTGAAGGTACAAAAAAATGAAACAGGATATAGAAAAGACAAAGTGATCTAATCAGGAATTTTACTGACACCTTACTTGACAAAGACTTTGTACATTTTTTTATTATGAGTTCCATCTAAATTATAAACTTCTCAATTGCCAACCCCAGCCTTGTATGGCCCACAGTACCTGCCCCAAGGTCACACCAGGGACGGTGCCACACGAATGTGCTAGATTAATACAGTGTAGCCTGAAACTCAAGGGATGCTGCTTGGATTTTATTTATTAAAGTCAGATGTTGATATTAAGCACACAATAATTTTCAGAATTAATATGTTAACAGGAAAGCCGCGCTGCCATGCAGCATGACATGAATTTTATCATCTGAAATCTGCTGAGATGTCGGAGCATAATTTTATTTTATTGCAGACATTTGCAACTACCACAGCATACTTACTTCCCAGTTTAATAATGGAAAGCAGGCTAATGCTCCATCTGTCAGGCAGCATTTTGCCTCTACATGTGATCTTGGTGAATTCTGCAAGACTTAGTCACTGGAGCGGAAGCAAGTATCTTTTTGACATGAAAAATGCTACTTATGTATATTCACTTGTGGATTTTTGCACATATTCCAATTCTATCTGTATAATCGCCCCATACTAAAACTACTAAATGAAGCCTCAGGTGACTTAAGACTCATACTACTTATAGTTCGGGTGGCCAAATTTAATAATAATAACATAGGACACACAGTTAAATTCAAATTCCAGATAATGAATATATTTTAGTATAAGTATGACCTGTGCAATATCTGTTATAGTAAAAACCATTTTTTGTTTTTTATCTGAAATTCAAATTTACCTGAGTACTTTGTATTTTATCTAACAAGTTTCTTTAGAGTAGAACAAAGCCTCTTTCTTATGTGTGTTATGATAGTTATGATATAATTTACTGCTTCTTGAATACAAAAATCAAAATAATGTCAAGGACAGACATGAAAAGGTTACTTGTAGTGGTGAAGTGCAGAAGGGAAGGAAACAGGTGTGCAGCAGCTGGCAATGAGGGCTCTGCTATGGCCATTGGAGGACATCTGTCCAGATGGCCAGGGAATGATGTTCAAGAATACGATACAATGAAAATGGAAGGCAGGAAAGGCAAATTGGAATAAAAACATACAGCCACAATGGAGGCATCTACATGGCAGGCAGAGTATGACACTGAGGACGGGCATCTCAGTCTGTTTCTGACTCATTTGACTTCACCATGAATGGAAAGTAGCACTTTAGGTAGTGGGGGGAAAAATAGACTCCTAGATGTTCAGAACTCCTAGATTCATGCCTTATCTCTGCCACTGATTCACCAGTGTCATTTTGAGCTGGTCTTTGACCATCTTGCCTCTCAATGTCTTGGAATCTAATGAAAGAATAATATCTGCTACCAATGGCTGGGAGGACAAAATGAAATTAAAACTGTAATCCATTGTATAAATACAATTTTGCATGCTTATTCTATCACTCATTAGTATGAGTAAAGTATTATGATGTTATTGAAACTAAATTCTAAAGATACAAGACAGAGTAAAGGTAAAGGGATTTACGCTATGACACTTTTTCATTAGTAAATGCAATTATATAGTCAAGCCCTAACTAGTTCATATGACTCATGTTAGAATTAATAGGGAAAACTCTTTCTTTAATTCTCTTAGTTTATTATGTGGAGGATATTTTTATTTCATAGTCTTATTAAGTTCAGGCAGAATAACCACAACACCACATCACTGGCTCATTTACTGCCCAATTTAAAATTATTACTTCTATCAAATTTATATTCTTACATACAGGGAATTTAGCTTTCTTCTCTCATTACAAGAAAAAAGAGATATTTCAAAATAACATTTTTCTTTTCTACTATCCAAAAATCTCAAAATATATGAAAGAAAAAAGGATAGAGAGACACTAGCTGCTTCCACTGGCATTCATCTTTTTTTGGATTTGAACATTACTCATGAAGCTCATTTGCATTCAATAAAGAGTGACACATTCTCCTAAAAGGAACTGCCGTAACACAAAGAGCTACAATAAGCTCATTCCATGTAGAAAACCAAAGTCCCATTTTTCCTCAATACTCATCTACCGAACAAGGTCAGGAAAATGTTGAAAGCAATTTCACATTTATTTGTTCCAGATAAATGGTGAAATAAAATGTGACAGGAGTGAGAAAGACAGAATAGAAAAATCAGATGGAGTGAGACTGTCAAATCTCGGCTATATTTTCTATGTTCCGAGTATAAAGTAATTGTGGTTTTTTTCCTTGACATTTCACTCCATAATTAAACAGGTGTCTAATATTCAAATACAAACTTCCAATTTCCGAGATGATTTCTTTTCATATGTGGTTAACAGTTTGGGCGAGATGTATCATACATTTCATTCTTGCATATGATTTCCCCCCTGGGAGGAACTTACTTGTGTTATTCAGAGGCTCACAGTTACAAATGTCAGCCAAGGCTGTTTCAGTTGGTTACAACAAAATACAAAGAGCAGCACATTCCTGGGGCTCAGCCCCACGCATCAGGTTGGATTTCCTCTGCTGCACAATTATCTCCTATAAAACTGAGTCTTGGTCCATTACCTACATAGCCATGGGCCACACAGGACACACCATAATAAAGGTAATTCAACAGGCTCACTTAACAAATATTCATGAGTGTCTCCTATAAGGTAAGCACTGTGCTGAGTACTACTAGAAATGTGCCCATGGATAAGACAGATGGAACTTACATTCTAGGAAAAGATGGAAGGAAGGAAAGAAGGAAGAAACAAAGTAGCTACTTTGTGATCTAGAGAAGAAGGCACTGATGAGTGGCATGAGCATACAAATAAAGAACTGATGTGAATAATAGAAGGAGATTTCTCCTAGATAGAATGGTTAGCAAACATCTCTCTGAAAAAGGAATATTTACGCTGAAAACTGATGTTTGGAAATTAGTTAGCTATTGCCACTATTTTCATGACAGTTTACATTTTATACTCTATTAGTTCTTCGGATATTATATCTAGCGTGTCAAATAAAGCCAGGTCTTCTTCGTTGAGACAACACAAATTTGGAATGTGAGCACAGACTAGACGCATAATGAAGTTTAATTTGATTCATAAAAGGCAGTGTGCCTAGAAAATGAACATGATAAACAAGATAAAAGATTGTATTAATGCCTTTGGAAGACATTTGAAATGCTGATAAGAAGTAAACAAACAAATTGGAGGCTAACTACAAATATTTACTATGCAAATTTTGGTTGGTTTGCTTGAGTTGCCACAAAGATTAAATATCTTCAATATCCAGAAGGACACCCTACCTTTGGTGAGGCCTATTGGTCGCCTTTCCCCGTCCATTGTCCCTACCACCAGCTATAACGCCAGATTTCTATAGAGGATTTCATAATGTGTAGGAGAAATATATATTTTCTGATGTGAAACCCATGATCTAGGTGAGGCCAATTAGAGCACTCCACTCCCCCTGGACAAAAGTAAATTTAGGGTTAGCCCCATCATCTAAACGGATGCAATGAGTGAAGTTTGAGGACTTTTCTCTGTGTTTGGGAGCCCAGATGCTCACCCTCTTTATGACTGGTGTGATATGTAGCAGTGAAACAGAAACCACTGTAACTATTTTATTATATACGTGAAAAGAATACAAGAACAAGGGAAGAGCCTAGTGAATTGGAGATATGAGCTGGAGCCTTAATCAAACTACTCTGAAACTTGTACCACTTGTACACGTTTCAGTTATTAGTCTCTGAGTGGAGCCAACGATTTCTACGATTATTTAACACAACTGAGTTATGTTTGCTATTTAAAATGTCTTATCTGTATTCACGACCTAGCCTCTTGTTAGGAGTCTTCTCCATATTTAAACTAACTGTCCCTTCTGATAACTCTGGTTCCCCTGTGTAGCCAACTGGATTTTTTCTCCAGCTTTACACTTTATTTCCATCTCCGTGGCCTGTGAAGGTTATTAGACCCTCCTACCATAAGGAATTGCTCAGCGAGGCAGCATCATAACCCAAATGAATGAACAAACCAGGCTGATGCTCATGGACTCACTTGGGCCTCAGACTGCACATCCTCCGATCCTACAAGTTTTGAGACAAGTATTATAGTGAAAATGACTTAAAAAAATCTCTCCAAGAATATAACAGGATTGAAATCTGAATAAGATGACCTTGGCCTATTGCCATACGTTCTGAGTTTGCTATGATTTTTCTAGAAATGGGTTGTATTTTAGAAAATAAATTACCTCAAATCTAAAGATTTCAGGTTTGAAATTAAATCACTGCCTATGTCCTGTATGAATACAAACTTCAAACTAGCTTGAATCAGGTGTGTCTGTGGAGATGAGACTTTCTTCTAGCACCTGGTAGGATGATCGCTTCTGGACAAGTTCAATAATATATGGAATTATTCATGAAACCAACATTTATTAGCATTCCACTTTTCATCAAACACTATTCTGGATCTGATGAAGTCCATATCAAGAATAATACAAACTTGCCTCTTCTCTCCAGGAATCTATGTTATGGGAAGCACAAACGAGGTAAAATGTAATAATAGTGCAGTGTGGTAAAAGTGTTGCCTCACAGAGGCATCTGTCATATAAATGCACCAAATAAATATGGTACGTCTATATTGGTCACTAGATTATTTATTTCTTCACAGCAGCCTGAGATCCATTTATTTACTCAAAAGCCCACCAGTACCAAACTCAAATTTTCACACATCCAATTGTTTTAACTATCACCCAGTGAAGCAGATTTTTAGCCATTTAGAATCTGCCGGTTTCTTATATCCTGCAATACTACACCCAATATCTGCTACCCATACCCGTATCTCATACCCATGGATACGATAAAACCATGGGACTAGAGCAATTTCCAAACCACTGCTCCCCTTCGGAGCTTTCTGACTCAGAAGTGCCCTGCCAGGCTACTGAGCAACTTTGCCTAGATGCATAAACCTCCTCTTGATCCCCTCACCCCGAGGAGTCCCCTTCCCCCACTCCTTTTCTAGATGGTGGCTCCCACACCTTACCCTCTCGAGGTATCATGCTGGGAGGTACTTTCCCTGCCTTCATGCCTACTGAAGTAAAGTTCGTGCTTGCTGCTGCCACCTCCTGGCCACATATTTTTAATCGGCCCTGAAATCCTCTAAGTGACTTCCTCCAGCAGTTAATCACATTAAGATGAGAGAACATAGGAAAGTTGAGAGAACGGGTGAAATTACGATGGGTTTTCTGGAACTGAGGATTGAAAGCTAAGTAGGTGTTCTTCTGTCAAAGAAGGGGATAAGGACAATCACCGCAACGGGAACAGAATGTGCAAAGTTCTAAAAATATGGTACATTCTCCATATGACCCTAGAGGAATTCAGCGAGGCTGCATCCTGCATCAGAGGCAGGATGATGAGAAATGAGACCAGACAGGTTCACAGTAAGTAGGGCATGTACCTCATACCCAGGGGTTTTTATCATTCTGGCAGCAATGGAGGCATTTGAAGCAAGGGAGTGAGTGATCAGAATTGCATTTCAGAAAGATCAACCCGGCAGCAGTGCGGGAATCGTTTTGAGGAAAACAGTACTAGTAAAAGGTTGTACAAAAAAGAAGTCGTTATAATAATATCAGTAAGAAATTATGATGCCTTGGGCCAAGGTGTGATAGAAGCTATGAAAATTATATATATATATATATATATATATGCACACACATAGTTTATATATTTAGTTTATATTATATATCATTTATATGTATATTACATAGTTTATAATATATAGTTTATTATATATTATAATAAACTATATAAGTAATATTAGCATTAATAAACTATATTATATATCTTATATATAAAAAATATGTATATTTAAGAAAAGAACTAAAAGGATTTTTTCTAAAGAGGATGAAAGGATAACCTCCCAGAATGTGGACTGAGCAAATGAATGCATTATGGTGCATACATTGAAACTGAAATAGAGAATTCAGAAGAAGGCAGATGTATTTTTGTTGTTGGGGCAACATTAATTTCAACTTTGGACATGTTGGCTTTGAGGTCTTTGGAGCCATTCAAATTGAACTTACCATAAGACAGCTGACTAGAGCTGGGGATCCAATATTCAGAAAAGAGGTCTGGGTATGAGATAGAAATTTGGGTCCTGTGTTTGAGCAGTAGTTGAAGACAGATGTAATAGGAAGGTCCAAAAATAGTGATAAAATATATGAATCAAGGATGAATTCCTGGGGAACAAAGACATTGGATTAGTGACTCCAGGCAGAAGAACATGCAAAAAAGAGGTATTCAGGGAGAATGCTGTGTGGAAGTGAAGAGAGAAGAAGGACACAGGAAGAGGGCAGGAAGGGACAGTTTCCAAAAACTATTTACAAAGTCAAACAATTTAACAATTATAAGTTTAAATAATGGACTTCTGTTCTTTACTTGGAAGTATCAAAATTATTGGGATCTCATTATTGTCTTGGAGTTGTGCTGTCCACAATGTGCAGTGTGGTCCACATGCGCCGTGATTACCTAGGGTTGTGGTCTGAAATGCAGCTTCTGTATCTAGAAACTGTGAGTCAGTGGTCTAAGCTGGGGATCCAGAAATGCGGGTTTCTTGACTCTCCAGGCATAACTGTGCATGTTAATCCTACTTCCTCACAAGATTGAATTAAGAACTCTCTTAAAATGAGGAAAGCAACAGAAAACCAGGATTTAAGATACCAAAGCTCTTTAACCCTACTTTCTGCAAGGTACTCCGACTAAGATCATAGAAAATAGCTAACTGTAAAAGAAAGACCAACCTGGCCATCAGTTTCTGAGTCCTATTGTAAAGGTAATATGTTTGGAAAACAAAACAGATTCATTTTTGGAGCCATTTTCTCTATTTTTTAATGATCAAAAAAGACTCATAAAGTGATAATCTATGTTGACAATAAATAACAAAAGGAAATGAGAGCTTCAGCTATTCCAGTCAAGCGAGTAAAACTTAAAAGGCACACTAATTTTCAAATGTACAGAAATCCTTAAAATTTATCTTAAACTGTTTTTTTTTTTTGTTTTTTTTTTTGTTTTTTTTTTTTTTTTGAGAAAGTCTCGCTCTGTCACCCAGGCTGGAGTGCAATGGCGCGATCTCTGCTCACTGCAACTTCCGCCTCCTGGGTTCACGCCATTCTCCTGCCTCAGCCTCCCGAGTAGCTGGGACTACAGGCGCCCACCACCATGCCGGGCTAATTTTTTTGTATTTTTAGTAGAGACGGTTTTACCAGGTTAGCCAGGATGGTCTTGATCTCCTGACCTTGTGATCCGCCCACCTCGGCCTCCCAAAGTTAAACTGTTCTTTCTTAACATGATGGTTAAAGAAGAAATAAACCGTGGAATGACCAACTGCTATGATGGAAGTCACACAAGAAGCTTCATTAGGATTGGGACAACACCTGCCTGGGTTGTCACAGCATGCCAGTGCTTATGACAATGCCTGGTAGATAAGGTGCCCCATAAATATAGTTGTAATAAATGGGTTTATTAGTGTTCAAATACACATCTACTGTACGCCAACCCTTTGGCATTGAGAAATACATTTTACCTCTCTCAGCTAATTTCCCTGGAAGCTTGTTCTAACATCACATAGTACAGTGCGTGAAAAGTGACCTGCACAGCATAAGCAGTCCATATACGCGAGGCAGATTGGCCTTGAAGCTAAGGAGGCTTAAGTCAGGGCTCTTGCTTGCATCTACCCCTTCCAGGGCCCTGCATGAGGCCCTACCAATGAGTTAACATGGGTCCTATGTCTTTGTAATGTTCGCAAAAATAATAGTTTTATATTACTTGTATTTAGAAATGTCTCTTAAATGAGCTTTAGGGCCCACAAAACTTGTTGTTACCATGAATATATAATAGATATTATTACCAGCATGTGAGAAATAAATTATATATAACCTAGAGAAAGTTCTTTATACATAATTGGCTTGCAATAAATGTATTATTTTGTGTATTTTAAGTTGTTTATTTATAACATAACATGTTATGGCAAGGTTATATGGTGGATTATAAATACATCTAAAATAAGTTACAATAAAAATAAGTGGGAAAAGACATCAGAACAGAAGTTTTCTAACAGACGAATATATATCCATACACTTTTTAGCAGTCAAGGCAAAAAAGGAACTAAAATCCAGTACTCATTCAACAGTGTCTATAACACCGGGGCAGAATAACTGCTACGTAGAAACTCAACTATTTCCAGTGTGAAGTAAAATATTTATTCTAGGTATTTTTCTTTAAACGAAGACTACAAGTCAGTGAACAATATCTTCAGGATATGATTAGAGTATAATCAGCAACTGATATCATACAAATGTTAAAGCCCCCATAAGAAAAGTGTGATCACCATTATAGCCCTATCCTTTATGTGTTATAAATTACTTGTAGGCCGGGCATGGTGGCTCACGCCTGTAATCCCAGCACTTTGGGAGGCCGAGGAGGGCAGATCACTTGAGGTCAGGAGTTCAAGACCAGCCTGGCCAATATGGTGAAATCCTGTCTCTACTAAAAAATACAAAAATTAGCCAGGCGTGGTGGCAGGCGCCTGTAGTCCCAGCTACTCAGGAGCCTGAGTCAGGAGAATTGCTTGAACTGGGGAGGCAGAGGTTGCAGTGAGCCAAGATTGTGCCACTGCACTGCAGCCTGGACAAAAGAGCGAGACTCTATCTCCCAAAAAATTAAAAAATAAAAATAAAAATTTGTAAAAGGATGTGAAAAAAGAGAAACATTTATATGTAAATTTAGTGTTGAATAAAAATTTTGATTAGCTGAGCACGGTGGCACACACCTGTAGTCCCAGCTACTCAGGAGACTGCAGTAGGAAGACTGTTTGAGCCCAGGAGGTGGAGGCTGCAGTGAGCTGAGATTGCACCACAGCACTCCAGCCTGGGCAACAGAGCCAGATCCTCTTAAAAAAAAAAACAAAATTGATGGACGAGATAGGACCGCCGAGTTGATGATGGATAACAGGATAACATGCATTGTGAAATGGAGCTACATTTGGATGGTAATAATTATAGCTAAAAGAGGAAGAATTTATTGTGTAATGATGTGAGTGGGAAGGTGGTTAAAAACAGATACAAACATTTGGGTTGGAGAAATTGATTCAGGAAGTATCTATATAAAATTATAAGAACAAACCCACCATCATAATTTTCAAGTCTGAAACATAAAGTAGCCAAGAGACCCTGATATTGAAGCTCAGCAACCTAAGGAATAAAAGGGCATTCCACAAGGAAATAATGGGATACCTTCAATCTTTTAAGTGACATATTTTTGTCCTAAGAAAGCTTGATTAAAAATGTAATCTTTTCTATGCACAATATCTGAAATTTGAATCCCCTCAATCAAGGATAGGCAAATTTTCTCTGTAAAAAGGCAAGAGAGTAATACCTGGGGTTTTGCAGGCCACAGAGTCTCTGTTGCAACTACTCCATAGTGGTGGGAAGCAGCCATAAAAAATAAGTAAATGAATGGCCATGACTGTGTGCCAATACAAGTTTACTTGTAAACACTAAAATTGACTATAAATGCATGGGTTTATTTCTGGGCTCTCTATCCTGTTCCACTGGCCTAGTCATCTGTTTTTATTTATGCCAGTATAATGCTGTTTTGATTACTATGGCTTTGTAGTAGATTTTGAGATCAGGTAATGAGATGCTTCCAGCTTTGTTCTTTTTGCTTGAGATTGCTTTGACTATTTAGGGTCGTTTGTGGTTCTATACAAACTTTAGAATTTTTTTCTATTTTCATGAAAATCTTTTTGGAATATTGATAGAGATTGCAATTAATCTGTAGATCCCTTGGGGTAATAAAGACATCTTAATAATATTAATTCTACTAGTCCAAGAGCGTGGTATATTCTTCCATTTATTGGTGTCTTCTTTAATTTCTTTCATCAATGTGTTACAATTTTTCAGTACACATTATCTTTCACCTCTTTGGTTAAATTTATTTCTAATTATTTTTAGCTATTTTAAATAGTTATTGATTTCTTTTTCAGATAGTTTGCAGTTAGTGCATAGAAATGCTGCAAGTTTTGTATGTTGTTGTAACTTGCAACATTCATTTATTAGTTCTAGCAGCTTTTTGGAGGAGTCTTTAGCATTTTCTATATACAAGATTATGTCATCTGCAAACAGAGACAATTTTTTTTTCCTTTCTGATTTGGATGTCTTTGTTTGTTTGTTTGTTTTGCCTAATTGTTGTGACTAGGACATCCAGTACTACATTGAATAGAAGTGGTGAGAGTGGGCATCCTTATCTTGATCCTGATCTTAGAGGAAAAGCTTTCAACTTTTCACCATTAAGTACGATGCTATCTGTGGGCTTGTTGTATATGGCCTTTATGGTATTAAGTTACATTCATTCTGTACATAATTTGTTGACAGTTTTTATCATGAAAGGATGTTGAATTTTGTCAAATGCTTTTTCTGCATCCACTAAGATGATCATATAATTTTGCCCTTTATTCTGTAAATGTGGCATCACATTTATTGGTTTGGGTACGTTTAACTCTCCTTACCTCCCAGGAATAAATCCCACTTGATCTTGGCAAATGATCCTTTTAACGTGCTGGCAAATTCTATTTACTATTGTTGCTAATGATTTTTGGATCTATGTTCATCAGGGACATTAGGTTGTAATTTTCTTTTCTTGTAGTGTCCTGGTCTGGCTTTGGTATCAGGGTAATACAGGCCTTATAAAAACAGTTTGGAAGTATTTCCCCCTCTTAAATTTTCTGGAACACTTTGAGAAGGATTAGCATTAGTTCTTTAACAGTTTAAGCCATCTAGTCCAGGGCTTTTCCTTGATGGTGGTTTTTATTACTGATTGATCTTCTTACCCATTTTGGTCAGTTCAAATTTCTTCATGATTCAGTTTTGGTAGGTTGCATATTTTTAGGAATTTATTCATTTATTCTAAGTTAACTAATAATTGTTCATAGTAGTGTCTTAGGATTCTTTGTATTCTTGTGGTATCATTTGCAATGTCTCCTCATATATTTCTGATTTTATTTGTGTCTCTTCTCTTTTTGTTTCTTAGTCCAACTAAAGTTTTATCCATCTTGTTTAGGTTTGAAAACATATGTTTCATTTCATTGAGCTTTTCTGCTGTTTCTATTTATTTATTTATTTCTGCTCTTATCTTTCTTGTTTCAGTCTTTCTACTAACTTGGGTTTAGTTTGTTTTTTTTCTAGTTCATTGAAGTATAGTGTTATGTTGTTTTAGAGCTTTCTTTCTTTTTGATGTAGGTGTTTACAGCTATAAGCTTCCCTCTTCAAACTGTTTTTGCTGCATCCCATAAATTGTCTTGTTGTGTTCACATTTCTGTTAGTCCTAAGGTATTTTTAAATTTCCCTTTTAATTTCTTCTTTGACCCATCTGCTGTTAAGGAGCATGTTTTTAATTCCCATGTATGTGTGAATTTTCCTAATTTCTTTTTGTTGTTGATTTCTAGTTTCATGTCATTGTGGTTAGAAAATATACTTGATATGATTTCAATCTTCTTAAATTTGTTAAGGCTTGTTTTGTGACCCAACATATGATCAGTCTTAGCGAATGTTTCAGGTGCACTTGAGAAGAATGTGTATGCTGCTGCCATTAGTTGGAATATCCTGTATTTGTCTATTAGTCCATTTGGTCTAAGATGTAGTTCAAGTCCAATGCCTCCTCCACTTAAATTATGGAGCTAGTATTTTATTGTGTTTCATTGTAGCTTACACATATTGACTACCTGTATAATATTCCATTGTAAGAATTTATCACATTTTTATTCTTCCATTTTTCCATTTAGAAGAATGAAGTTACTTATAGGTTTTTGCCATTATAAAAACATTTCTATCAACATTCTTATATATCTCCTATCAGCATATGCAAGAATTTCTCTTGAATATGTTCCCAGATATGGAATGGTTAAACCATAGCATATGTGAATCCTGACTTTAGGCAGCAACTTCAAAATGTTTTCATAGTGGCTGCATCTATCCACTTTCCCAACAGCAGATCCTGTGGATCCACATCTTTTCCTATGCTTGGTATGGACATAATTTCTCATTTTTTCCAATAGGATGGCCATAAAATCATATATAATTGCAGTCTTGAATTGCATTCCCCTCATGACCAATAATATTAACTTTTCTCCATACATTTCTTAACATATATTTTTGGTGAAATGTCTGTTTATATCTTCCGCCAATGTTGCTGTTGCATTATTTGTGCTTATATTTTGTCAATACTCATTTAATTGTGTGTGTTTTGAATATTTTTTGAGTTTGCAACTTAGAGTTGAAATTCACTTAATTTCAAAATTAACCTTGGATATAGAAAAGGGATTAATTTTAATATTTTAAGTTTAGTAATCTTCCATTTTAAAGAAAATTCTTTTTATGCCTTGTTTGACACTGCTCATATACTGAAGTCTAAAAGTACTCACTTTTTTTCAGTGCTTGAATGTTATATTTTTTACATTTATTCCTAAATCTATATAGAGGAGACGGTTCTAAATGGTGTGAGGTAGAAATCCAGTTTCAACTTTTTTCATGTAAATTATTTCTTCCTACTCAATACAACTCAATACATACATGCATTGGTCATTTTCTGGAATCCATTATGGTGCAGAGTTTGCTTATTGTGAGCCAAAACCACACTGTCATATTTGCCACCACTTCATAAAAGTCATGGTAACTGTTCTAATTCTTCCACACACACTCTCTTCCTCTCTTACTTCTAGGCCATTCTACAATTATCTTCTTAAATTCCCTGACAAATCCTGTTTCAAATTGCATTGAGTCCAGAGATCAATTTAAAAAGAAACAGGATCTCTATAATTTAAAGTCTTTATATATATATATATACACACACATATATGTGTATATATATATATGTATATATATATATATGTATATATATATATATATATATATATATATACATCGCTTACCTCTCAATTTATTTAGTCTTTTTCTCAATAATCCTTTTGTATCTCCCAATAATGCTTTTATAATTTTCCACAGGAAAGGTCTTCAACATATTTTGTTAAATTAATTCCTGGGTATTTCATATTAAGTTGTAGTTGCATAATGGTGCCTCCTTTTTAATTATACTTTCTAGTAGTTTGATGCTGATATATACATAAGTTTATTAGTGTTTCTATATTAATCATATATCCTACCAATATTGCAAACTCTCATTCTTTCAAATAACATATCTGTGTATTCTTTATGATTTTCCATGTAAACTTAAATATAGACACAGCTAACTTGGAGGCTTTCTTCTTTACTTTATAAAGTATTTAGAGCTATAACTTTCTATCTTCATACTACTTTATAGCCCTTCCCAATTTTGATGCATACAGGTTTTGTTTGTTTGTTTGTTTGTTTTTTGAGATGGAGTCTCGCTCTGTTGCTCAGGCTGGAGTGCAGTGGCACGATCTCGGCTCACTGCAAGCTCCGCATTCCAGGTTCACGCCATTCTCCTGCCTCAGCCTCCTGAGCAGCTGGGACTACAGGCGCCCACCACCACGCCCGCCTAAGTTTTTGTATTTTTAGTAGAGACAGGGTTTCACCATGTTAGCCAGGAAGGTCTAGATCTCTTGACCTCATGATCCGCCCGCCTCGGCCTCCCAAAGTGCTGAGATTACAGGCATGAGCCACCGCGCCCGGCCGATGCACACAATTTTAATTATCATTCAGTTTTAAATATTTTTTAATTTTCATGATGATTTCTTCTTAAATTCATGCCTTAGTTAAGAGCTTTCTTTTTCTTCCTAAATATTCAGTGATTTTTTAAGTTTAATTTTTATTTTTAAATTCTCAATTATTTTGTGATCAAAAGTGATGATCTGTATGAAATTTATTTTCTGAAATATAAATTGCTTTTATGTCTTAATACCTAATCAATTTCATAAATATTCCATGTGTGCTTAAAATAAAATGTGCATTCTTTCATTGTTGAATGCATAAATCTCTTTTATGCTCTTTCAATTCTATTTTAAAAACACATAGTCCATCTGTTCTAATATTTCTGCTTCTGTTCAAATTTGTAATCCAGCACTATTTTTAACTGATTGTGCTCCTCCAATGTCTTGTTATTTTGACCCATCAGCACATTTTTATCCCAGGAGATAAAGTGTGGAATCTGCGGAAATACGTGTCTGTGTTTCTATGGAACGGGGAAAGATTTACTCTGGAATTATTGCCTGAATAGCTGCAGGAAAGAGACCAGCAACTTCAGATTATCTTAACAAACATATTAAGAGACATAAGAAAATTTGAAACAAGAAATTATGGCAGCTACTCTTTCAAGCATATGTATGGGACAGATGAGCCCAATGGTACCCTTATGTACCTGTGTATACCGCTAAGTACACATGACCTACCAGAGAAATACTTATATTCTGTAAAAACTCTTAGGTCCAGTTCCATCCTTTGCTCCCACAGGAAGAAGCAGCCACAGGAGGATTACTCCTTAGACCTGTGCTTCACCAGAGGCAAGTAAATCCCTATGGCACCAGGAGAAAATGCAGATTTTACTCCAGGAGGCCCTGGTGAAGCCTGAGATTCTGCATTTCTACAACCTCCTAGATGGTGCTTATATGTTGCTGGTCCTAGACCACATTTCAGGTAGCTCAGGCTAGATTAAAATCCTCCAGTTTGGAGAAGAAGAGAGTCAGAAAGCAATTGTATATAGTTATTGACTACTGGTTTTCTGGTTTTTCTCATTTTCTCACAGTGAGAAAATGAGGGCTTCTGCACCATGCTAAGTTTATTCCTGAGGACACGTGGACTAGAGTTGTTTAGAGCAAATGTAGAGGCCAGTCTTATTTGTTCCAAGGCAGGGTCAGAGGAGAAACAAATGCTTCCAAAAATTCTTTTATTTTATACAACACAGAAGTGCAGGGTTGACTCCTGCCCCAAGACAAAGCCGATACTCTATAAATATGTACATAAAATCTTTCTCTTTCTTTCTCTGTCTCTCTAAATACACACACAAACAACACACACACACACACACACACACACACACAAACACACCATCACCACCACCACTACCACCACCACATATTTCTGACATTTTCTCTGTTTCTCCTTTCTACTTCCTCAGGGCAAATCACGTGGGAAGGAGAGAGAATGCAAACTAGCTCATTACCTTGGTCAGGACCCACTGGCTTTAAACAGACAAATAAATAAAAATAATGTCTTAGATTTCAACATCTATTACTCATCTCCTCAATCCTTTTATAGTCAACCTTCATGTGAGTTGTCTATATTACTTGCCTCCCAGTTTTTGCCTGTGAATCACTTCTTAATTCATTGAAACAGGTTTTTAAATCCACCAATCCACTAAAAGAGTGCTAGCAAAGATGGCCAATAACTATATGTCACAAAAAACACCAAACAATATTTTATTATAATGTGAAAGCTCTGGATTACTGGGTGTGGAGCATTGGTGAGGATTAAAAGAATTGATGCAAATAAAAACTCTCTAAACAGTGTCTAATACATAATAAATACTTTAAAATATTGACCAATATGATCCAACTTCACTTTTTGTCATCAAAATTCAACCCTGTTGTTTTGTCTTCATTCAATGATTGAAATATTCCCCCTTTGGTTTCTGATAACACGTTCTTCTGGTTTTCTTCTGACCTTTCTGGTTATTTCTTCTCTTTCTATTTTTAAGGTTCATGCTTCCCTAACTGGCCTTTGGATGCTAAAGATCTACAAGTCTAGTTTCTATAATCTCTTTTTATCTCACTCCGAATCGGCTTCTGTAAATGATCTCATCTGCACCTGTAGCTTCAATTACCACATCTACATAAATGACTCACATTTATTTTTATTCCAAGCCCAGACCTCTCTTTGGACCATCAGACACATTAATGAACTGCATATTTGATATGCCTTGTGTGAAGTGACATCAGCATGTCAAATTCAGCATGTCCAAAATCAAACCCATCATCACCCCTCACTCCAAATCTGGAGTTCTTCTAAAGTTCCCTGTGTCCATGAAAAACGATTCTTGTGCAAGCCAGAAACTCACATCAACATAAATCCTCCACCAAGTGCTATTGCTCTTACCCCAATGTACCTTGAGCATCCACCCCATTCTCTCCATTTCCACATCACCTACTATAAATGTCTGTGTTCCGTGGCTTCAACTCTAGAAATAGCTTCTTTACTGTCTACACACAACCAGTTTGAATGCCTAACTAAATTTACTCCACAATTCAATCAGAATCATCTTTTCAAAACATAAATCTGATGATGATACACCTCTTTTCAAATCTATCAAAGGCTTTCCAGTGCAATTTGGCATGCAAAAAAGTCTTAACTTTGCCTATGAACCCCCACATGATCTAGTCCCTACTTTCCTCATTAGCATTAGCTGAAAACATGCAACTTTGTTCTCTCTGATTCAGTCACATTATTTACTTCATCACTTACCCCCGCTTTTTTTTTTTTGACATTTCTCCCTCACGGGGTCATTGAATATGCTATCCCCCATGTCTGCAATATTTACCCTCCTCTCTTGACTTAGTTAATACCTGCCCATACTTCTGATCTCAATTCAAATACCTCTTTCTCTGTTAAAGCCTTCCTTAACCTTCAAACCAGTTGAAATCACCCACTATGGGCTCAAATTGCTCTGTGTAGCCCTCAGTGTAGCATATTGTGACCACGTGTCTCAACTGCAATTTTACCTTTGCTTACATGATTATGTGATTTGCATGATATCTTTTCTCAGAGGAAAGTTGTTTCGGCAGAAACCATCACTTTTAACAAAGGACATGGTAGTTAGTATGTATTCAGTAAATATATGTTGAATAAAATGTTATAAAATAAAATTAAATTAATATGTGTGCATTCCAAATAGCAGGACTGCATTAACTGCAAGATAGATTACCGAGTTATAACTGAAACTTAACAGGATTGGTTTTAGAACTGGTTCTGTTTCAGCCTTTCCATGGGTTCTCTCTACTGTCTACTACCATGTGGTTTTACTTCTAGATAGACAGATAGATAGACAGATCTCTAGCTCTAGTCTTTTTTTATTTTTATTTTCCTCTGACACCATCATGCTTTATGCCTTCTCTTCCTTTTCTACAAGAGATTGGTTTGACATTGGAAGGTAATCGGTGTAATTTCACACCGTAAAACAGAAAGGACAAAAATCATATAGATTTTCTAATAGATGCAAAAAATTATTGATAAAATTTAGTGCATATTTATAATAAAATTTCTTAACAAATCAGAAATAAAGGGATCTCCTTTATTGTGATAACGATGAACCACCACAAACTCTATAACAAACATTGTGCCAATAATAAAATAATTTTTCTTCATTATATTGGAAATGAGACAAGGATGCCTATTCTCACCAATTATATTCAGCTTTGTATAGGAAGTCCTAGCCACTGAGATATGATAAAAAGATAAAACCACTGAAAAAACTATATACCTCCTTATTTGTGGATTATTGAGAAAATCCAAAACACAGTCATGTACCACATAATGACGTTTCAGTCAACAATAGACAACATACACAACAGTGGTCCCATAAGATTAAAACAGAGCTGGAAATTCCTATTACCTGTTGATGTAATAGCTATCATAACTTAGTAATGCAATTCATCACCTATTCTATGTTTAGATATTTCATACACAAATACAGCCATCCGCTGCTTAAAACAGGAATCCTTTCTGAGAAACGTGTCGTTGGGTGATTTTGTTGTTATGCAAACATCATAGAGTATACACAAACCTAGATGGTATGGCCTAATACACACCTAAGCTATATGGCATAGCCTATTGCTCCTGGGCTACAAACCTGTATGTCATGTTACTGTACTGAATACTGTAGGCAACTGTAACACAATGGTAAGTGTTTGTGTATCTAAACCCAGAAAAGGTATAGTAAAATGTATTTTATACTGTATGTATAATCTTGAGACCACTGTTACATATGCAGTCCATCATTGACTGAGATGAAGCATATGACTATACTTGACATTCTCAGTTCCTCAAGTTATCTGCCTTATACAACCACTTCGTGGTGACCACCTTTCTGTGGGAGAGCTAGATACAACCTACTTGACTTGACCCACTGATCCCCATACCTGACATGGACTGTAGAGTTTTGCCACAGTAACCACCCTCAATCACACTGTGACTCCATGGAGCTCGTGCAGGCTTGATGGAAACTCACCAATTAGAACTCCCCATGCGGCCGGGGGCAGTGGCTCACGCCTGTAATCCCAGCACTTTGGGAGGCCGAGGCAGGCGGATCATGAGGTCAGGAGATCGAGACCATCCTGGCTAACACGGTGAAACCCCGTCTCTACTAAAAATACAAAAAATTAGCCAGGCGCCGTGGCGGGCGCCTGTAGTCCCAGCTACACGGGAGGTTGAGGCAGGAAAATGGCGTGAACCCGGGAGGCGGAGCTTGCAGTGAGCCGAGATAGCGCCACTGCACTCTGGCCTGGGCCAAAAAGCGAGATTCCGTCTCAAAAAAAAAAAAAAAAAAAAAAAAAAAAAAAAAAAAAAAAAAAAAAGAACTCCCATGCATGGGTAGTTACCTGCTTGGATAATGCCCGGGATCCCAATAAAGTTGTAGTCCCTTGCTCTCTCTCTTGCTCCCCACTCAATGGTTGAGGGCCTGTGTCTCAGACAGCGCCCCTCTTCCTGTTGCCTTGCAAGATGTGCTGCCCTCTGCTGGCTGGGATCTGTAAGGAAGACCCTGCTTCTGTTATTTCATGTGTTTTGTTCAGTTGCCCCCCTCTGTGTCTCACCTAACACACACACCCAGACATAGCTTCTCTGGGTCAGGACTCTTTCAGAGAGTGGCTAGGACAAGAGCCACCAGAGGGTCTGCCAGTTTAAACAAGCTTCCTATGAAAGAGACGCCTGGTCATTGGTCAGACACGGGCATTAGGCCATGCACCAGAATAAAGAAGTATCCTACAAAGGTACACTCCTCCATGGCTAAATTCTAAACGCTCTGCATAGGGCTAGAGTTTACTGCCACTCTCCAGAAAGAACTCAAGATCAAACTAGAGGAAAATACAACAGAAATAGTTTTGTCTGATAATAATATAGCTAACCGATTTTCATTAGTGTGTGCACGTTTCGTTTTC
Organism: Homo sapiens; assembly: GCF_000001405.40. Lineage (NCBI taxonomy): Eukaryota > Metazoa > Chordata > Mammalia > Primates > Hominidae > Homo > Homo sapiens. The sequence continues at coordinate 238,238,454 of NC_000001.11, read as the reverse complement.
CTTTCATTCATTTTTAGCCTACCTTTGTCTTTATAAATTGGGTTTCTTGCAGGTAACATATATTTGTAACTTCTTTCTTATCTAATCGTACAATCTCTACTTTTAATTAGCGCATTTAAATCATTTAAATATAATTTAATTATCAATACAATTGAATTTAAATCTATCGTATCGCCATTTGTTTTCTATTGGCCCAATTTTTATTTTTTCACTGTTCCTGCCTTCCTTTGGATTAATTGGGTAATTTTTGTGATTTCATTTTACTTCCACTAGGGGCTCACTAGTTAGATCTTCTCGTTTTATTTTTTATAGCTGCACTGGGGTTTATAATATACATCTTTAACTTATCATAATCCACCTTCAAATAATATTAAGCCATTTCACTACAGTTTAGGAACCTTATGATGGTATACTTCCATGCACCCTATCCTATCTTTTGTATTATTATGTTGCATATTTTATTTTTATATTTGCTATACAGCCCACAATGCATATTGTTAATATTTTTCCTTCAATACTGTGAAAGTGTCACCCAATTTTCTGTTGGCTTGCTTAGTTCCTGATAAGTCTGCTCTCATTCATAACTCTGTTCCCTTTCTGTAATATGTCCTTTTCCTTGAGCTACATGTAAGACTTTTCTCTTTATTGCTAGTTTTTAGAAATTTGATTGTGATTCTCCTGAATTTGTTGTTATTTTTCTATATAGAGTTTCTGAGCTTCTTGAATCTGTGGTTTTACAGTTTTTATTAACCTTGGTAAATTTGGGACCATTATTTTTAAAACTATATTTTCTTAACCTTTCATGCTGGTACTCCAGCTTCATAAATGATTGCCTGTTTTATATGCCACAGCTCACTGAAAATTGCTTTACTTTTTTTTTTTTGAGACGGAGTCTCACTCTGTGGCCCAGGCTGGAGTGCAGTGGCACGACTTCACCTCAATCTCTGCCTCCCAAGTTCAACTGATTCTCTTGCCTCAGCCTCCCGAGTAGCTGGGGATTACAGGTGCCCGCCACCGCACCCAGCTAATTTTTGTATTTTTAGTAGAGATGGGGTTTCGCCATGTTGGCCAGGCTGGTCTCGAACTCCTGACCTCAGATGATCCACCCGCCTCGGCTTCCCAAAGTGCTGGGATTACAGGTGTGAGCCACCGTGCCCAGCCACCAAAAGGTATTTTTAAATGGAAAATTCATTAATAACAAAAAGGAAGAAAAAAAGAAAACCATAGAAAACAATACAAATAGTTTACAAAGGATTTTCAAAGTAAATCTTTGAAAATATATACACAGTTGACCCTCGGAACAACACAGGTTTGAAAGTGCAGGCCCACTTACATGCAGATTTTCTTCTGCCTCTGCCACCTCTGAGACAGCAAGATCAACCCCTCCTCTTCCTCCTCCTTCTCAGCCTTCTCAATGTCAAGACAAGGAGGATGAAGACCTTTAGGATGCTCAACTTCTACTTAACGAATGGTAAGTGTATTTTCCCTTCCTTGGGATATTCTTGGTAACATTTTCTTTTCTCTAGCTTACATTTTTGTAAAAATATAGTATACGATGCATAACACATAAAAATATGTGTTAATTGACTATGTTATTGGCAAGTCATCTGGTCAACAGTAGGCTATTAGTAAAGCTTTAGGGGAATCAAAAGTTATATTTGAATTTCTGACGGTGTGGGAGGTATATTCCATTCTAGCCAAAAAAAAGAGACTCGTAGGTTATAACTGGGCTGTCTGCTTTTCCACTCTATCCCTGGCTGAAACTCATCCCCTTCTCACCACTGAGAAACACCCTTTGAGCATCCTAATAATGCTTTGTCACTTTACTTACTTAATGTCTTCATACCTAATTCTACTTCTTAAACTTTTCATATACAGAAGCTGAATGGGATTATGGTGTCTGCCACAAAGAAATATAAAAGCTTACAGCCCATATCCCATTTTCATGTGGTAGGGCACAGTCTAGTCTCCAATTTACACTGAGATTGCACCTTAATGATAACTTTTGTGTAAATATTATATTCATATACTAATCAGGGTTTTATTATCTCACAATACCTCCTTCCACACTGCCCACTGGAAATGTGATCTAATAACAGACAAGATCATTGACCACATCAATATTCCATATTCATTTCTTCTTTTTCTAAATGTGTGCAATGGTACCCAATAAGAAAATAATATTGTTCTTATGCCTAGAAATTAAAGCATAATTCCCAAAGAAACCATGACCCTTAAGAGAAACATAGGATTTGCCTGCCCTGGAGTTGTTGGATTTCTTTGTTTTTGTTTTTGCCTTTAAGAATGGCATATCATTGTCTATTGCTATTGTATCAAATTACTACAAATTTAGAAGCTTAAAACAACATGAATGTACAATCTCAGAACTTTGCAGGTCAGAGGTCTGCATTGGCTTGACTGATTTCCTTACTCTGGATGTCAGCCAGCCTGGGCTCTTATCTGGAGGCTCTTGGGGAGAATCCACTTCCAAGCTGCTCATTCAGGTTGTTGGCAGAATTCAGTTCCTTGCAGTTATAAGGCTGAGGTTCCATTTTTTTTTTTTTGCCTGCTGTTGTCACATGGGAGTCTCTCCCAGCTCCTCCAGGCAGCCTGCATTCCTTGTCCCATTGACCTCTCCATCTTCAGACAAGCAATGGCACAGGGCTGAGTTCTCTTCATGCTTTGGATTTCTCTGACTTCCTCTTTTGCTGTGTCTCTTCTACTCCAGAGAACCAGAGAAAGTTCTCTGTTTCTGATGACTCCACAGATTAAATATGGCCTACCTGGAGAATCCAGGATTTTCTCCCTATTTTAAGGTCTGTGACCTTATTTATATTTGCTAAGTCCTTTTTGCCCTGTAAGGTAACATATTTGAAGTTTCCAGGGATTAGGGCATTAACTTCTCTTGTTGTGGGGGGAGTGGGTGGGTGTATTTTGTTCACCATAAGTGGACACATATTATTAGTCTTATTCTAAGCATGTAAATGTTTGATATAGAATAGGAAAGTTAGTGAGGCCACAGGAGAAACTGAGAATGAGGCTTGGAAGGAAGACAATTATTGCACCTGGAGGTCCCAGTGATACAATGATAGAGGCAGGAGGCAGGGAAATTCTAGGTAGAAAAGGGCGGGTCCCTGAAAAAATCCCACCCTCAAGTGTGATACCACAGCCCAAAGTGAAAACTTATATCCCTGTTTTCCCACACGAATGTTGCCTTTTCCAAAACCATCCATGGCCTGCCCCACCCCTCATCTTGTGCCCATAAAAATCCCAGAACTCAGTTGGCAGAGAAGAGAAGTCACTGGACATCAGACGCTACGGTTGGATGCCAGAGAGAAGTAGCTTGACTTGAGAGGGACAGTTTGATGGCATAGCTTCAGAGAGGAGTCTGGCTGGGGACAGCCGGACTTCAGGGGAAGATTACCTTCCTACTCCGTCCCCTTTTCAGCTCCTCTTTCTGCTGATAGCCATTTTCATCAGCAATAAAATCCCTCATATTTACCATCTTCAATTCGTTTGTGCAACCTCATTCTTCCTGGATGTTGGACAAGAACTCAGGGGCCAAGAATGTGGATGCAAAAGGCTCTCACACTAACCCTTTGCTCTCGCTGGTGGAAGGCAGCTGCCTCACATGAAAAGGCAGAGGGTCCACTGAGCTGTTGTCAGTTAAGTTGTCCATGGATGGCCAAGCTAAAAGAGCACTGTAACACTTCCTCTGGGGCCTCAGGAGGCGCAGGTACCTCCCAGATGCTGCTGCAGGGCTGCTACAGAGTTGGCTCAAGCCGGCACCCAAAAGCACTTGCCCCAGGTCCTGCACCTGCTCACCTGTGTCTTCCCTCCCATGAGGGGTGGAACACAGCAGGTTCGGGTGGGTGGAGTCTCTCCCTGCTGGTGCCAGAATGACCAGCTGACTCCAGCACTCATGTACTCCAGTTCCTGCCTGCAAAGGGGTCAGAAAACTATCCTGTTTCACTAGAGCATCTCGAATCTGTAGTTTTACAGTTTTTATTAATCTTGTAAATTTGGGAGCATTATTTTTAAAACTATATTTCCTCTGCCTCTTATGCTGGTATTCTAATTTTATAAATGATTACCTGCTTGATATACCACAGCTCACTGACGATTGTTTCACTTTTTGTTTACTTTTTCATCTTTCGGAGCTTCATTTTTGATACTTTATCTTGCTATGGCTTTATGTTCACTGATCCACAGTGCCTAATGTGTTGTTAACGCTGTTTGAGGTGTTTCTTATTTCAGATAACGTATTTCTGACATTACCTGAAGAGGGGGTCATTGGACACCATACAGTGTCTCAAAGGAAGCACCAGGTTTTGATCAGGTAGCAGAAGACAAGACAGGAAACAGTCAATACCAGAGCCTTAATTGAGGTTTTGGTGGGAAATGTAAGGCAGGGCAGGGAAAAGAGTTTTGGGTTGGTTAGTTTGAATGAATTCCAGCAGGACTGGGGCTACAGGAGTGGTCTCTAGTGGCCTGTACCTGGCCCTAGGATGATTTGGATGGAGGAAATATTGGCTTGGTGTGTGAGGGTGAGGTAAGGGGATTGTTGGGACTATAGACTCAGGATTGAGTGCTTTGCATATCATGGATGTGCTCTTAGGCAGTTTGTTCTTCTCTTTAGGAGTTAGCTAGCTCTGGGAAGGCTAGTCTTTCCTTGTTCTGCAAGGCCCTCAAATGCTAGATCATCGACAATACAAAAGAGTCAGAAAATATAGCTAATATAATTGATCCTGTGATAAATAGACGCCAAACTGACAAATACAGAATTGAGGAAAACCCATAGCAGTCTATTAAGAATGAACCTTCCCCCATTCTGTAGGTAAAAGCCATTGTTCCTCACCATCCTTCCAAAGGAGTGGACCCTTAACTCAATGTCAGAAAGAACACTTGCTAGACATTAAGCAGTCTTTGTTTATACACGCCCAACCAGGTAGATTTGGGGCCTTCCACTATATTGTACCTGAATTATCAAACCTTGTATATTGTGGGCTTGATAGAATTTGCAACTTAGAACTATCTATTTTGTACCTACTAAGTGATATGAACTAAGCTACTTCCTTTCATTGGCTTCATCTCTTTTTATATATCCCATCTAGTCTCATTATTTTGCTGGTATGTATGGTGGTCCTGCCTGCTGGTTCCCAGACCACAACCTGATAGCAAAACAATAGATTATTTTCAACTTATCCTGAGTTACACAACAGTGCCCATATGACATCATATTATTACAATTGGTTATTAGGAAATACAACATCCAAAAGAACATTCGGTCCATTTTAAGCAGTTTTTGTCTACTACATGTTCTCAAGTAGGTGTGGGGTTCACCGCTTTACTGTAGCCAAATTGTTCAAATTAATGCAAGTAAAAAAGGAGGAGAGGATATATCAGCTTTGCCTATTGATGATCACTTTCATTTTACACAAAACACAAATGAAAGATATTGATTAATGGTGGCTAAATATAAATAAACAAAAAGAAAGAAAGAGGACGTTTTCTATAGTTGATTATTAGGCATGAGCTACACTAAATAATCAAAAGTTATTGTCTTTTACATCTGACACTGCCTTCTTTTGTCATTATACACAATTTTTTACGGATTTGAAGAATTTTCTCCTAAGCTTACTTAAAGACCAAACATTCAGTGCAGCATCCTCATCTGGAACCTATGTGTAAAGATGTATTTATAAAATAAACTCTAGGTGTCTAAGCAAACACCATTCATTTTTTAAAAGAGCTGATTATAATTTGAGGAATCAGGGTGATAACCAAAAGCAATACCATTTCTGGCTTCTGAAACTATAAAATTAGCTAGGTAATGACATACTTTTCAGCTGATTAAATTTTTTTTTCTAGCTGGGACATCTGCTGTCATTTGAAAACTGTCCAGTATGAATATCTGAAGCAGATGGGAACAGCATGGAAGATGTCAGATTTGCTTGTGGTGTAAGTAATATTTGCTTTTTTTGGACAAGGTTTTCTGCAGAAAAGAGGTTGCTATTTACTCTCAATTTCAGTCTTAGACAGTGGTTAGTAATGACAGGTAAGAGTAAACGTGGCATCTGGGAAGAGGTGCTGACTTCCTAGAAGTAAGGTCTCTAGGCTGCTGCTTAATGCTGCTTTTATGCTCACATGTTGTGTGATTAAACACTTGGTGAGGCCCTGGGGCTGCCAGCTGGACATGATTTGACACCCTTATTAATCTTGAGAAATGTTCTCACTTTCATCCAATTAGAAAAGTTTTGGAAAAGCCCCCGTGCCATGCGGCTGTGTTGCTTCCAGTAGATAATGCCAGTTGGCAGTTATCTTTTCATAAACTGGTCTGAGTGTTTCAGGATAGCTCCTGTTTTCATTAGCTGCTCCGAATATTTCGGGATAGCTCTTGTTTGTTGTAATTTTATGGGTAGAAGCTGTCAATGGAAAGTGGATGTTGCCTACCACAGGCACCTGAGAAATGCTGGAAATCTTTGAGGATCTCCAGAATCCCTAGAGCCAAAATATGGCTTTTCTCCTTCTGATTGCTTTCTCTTTGAAGCCTGGCCATGAGCCTCCATTCCTGGCATCTTGCTTACTGTGCTCTATGGCAAGGGAGCAAAAGAGCATGGAGTTCTGAAGCTGAAAAACTCAGTCTTTCAAGAACAAAATTTCAGTGGAGTGCTTACGGGGATCTGGACCTTTTTCCAGGTCCTGATGCATTAATGACTAAAAGAGTGTCTGTCCTTTAAGATCTCACAGTCCAGTGAAGCATCAGCTATGTGAACAGATTATTACATGCAGCAAGTTTTATAATAAGCACTTGTACAAATTATTATGGCAGAAAATAGGGGAAATCTGGAAAAAGAAGTTTTAGTTGACTATTTAAAGATCAAAATAATTCATTTGGGCACAAAAGTGAAGGAATATTATCCCAGTAAGGAACAAACAGAGGGAGGGACAATAATGCATTTGTGGGCATTAGGCATACATTAAAGGAATGACCAGACAAGGAAAGGATGTTCTATGTAAGTGGTTACCACACTTTGTGGCTTCAGAACATCTTTACACTGCTATTACTGGGGACACCAAAGAGCTTCTGTTTATGTGGGTTATACCTATGCTATTTACTGTATTTTAAATTTAAGTAAATTTAAACAGACATTTTTTAAACACACATAACATGTTAACACATGGAAATAACTGTATTTCCATAATGGGAGTAAAATAGCACAGAGTCACACTGCTTTATATTTTTGAAAATTTCTTTAATTTCTTGCTTAAGAACTGAATTAGATTCATATAGCTGCTTCTGCATTCAAATAGTTGCAATATGTTGTTTTGGTTCAAGTATGTAAAAAATAATCTAGTCTAACACATACAGGTAGCTGAAAAGTGATGAGATTTTCAATTGCCTTTACAGATAACTGTGATTATTCTTCTTCAATATGACCCAAAAATTATACAAGTGGTAGTTTCTTAATATTTTTGCAATAAAAATGTGAAACTATATGCAAAGGCATTTTAAACTCAGTTACATTAAAATCCACTGGTCTGTTCTGCACTGTGAATGGACATTTTACCATGAATGATTTTGTAACATCACACATTGGTCATTGGAAAAATACTGTTTCACTCAGTTAAGCAGATCTTCCAAATGTTGTCATATTAATCGTACAATACTAAAAAGTCACATTTGCTAAAGTCGCCACTAATTTTATCAGAAAAAGTCTTTTAGTGCTGAGAAACTGTCAAGTTCAGTGGTTGATATGAGTTCTGCAATATTCTAATTTTTGCTTGAAAGTTTTAATTTTATCAGTTGTTTCCCTTACAGTGACAAACCACATCTGAATACCTAGTTTGTCTGTCAGTCATGTTTTTAAAGTAAAAATGGTGTTCCATGAAAAGTAGCAGCAAGCACAGCTTGCAACTCAATCTTACAAGTACTTTTCCCCAGGACCATCATTGTCCTTGGTATGTAGCGGAAGTACTTAATGTGTACGTCCCATTTCACCACACAGAATATTTTTAAAGCATGTACTCAAGATTACATAAAATTAGTAATTTTATACTACTTTTTTCAGGACATTCTTACGTGAAACTGGCTGGGTTTTTTGTTGTTTTTTTGTTTTTGTTGTTGTTGTTTCCTTTCTGCAGTGTGTGCAGAAGAATATAATGGCCCCATGCATAGTTGGGTACTTCTGCCTTGATTGGTGCTCAGGCCCCAGCTATTTTAACCACCACTATTTTTGAACCGTTGGTGCAAGTTCCAACATAGCAGAAGGGCCAATAATGCCCAGCTTTGATTGTGCACACCCCCTGCGTGGGTCTTGAATACCATCCTTTGGAACAGCTGTTCTAAATAAAATTAAAAATAGAACAAAAGAAACATGAAAAAGGAAATTTACTGAGCAACCTCTATGTACCAGGGACTAAAGAGCATTACAGTTCATTTAGTTTAACTGATCAAAACATGAAAATTATCAAAAAATGAAAACAATTAAAATAAACCAAACAAAAAATAAAACTCTTAATAAATTAGCTAAGGCAAAAAGGGACTGCATTAGTTCACACAACAAAACTGAGGCCAGGGAAGGGGTACCACAGGAACCCAAGAATAATCGAAAGTTGGCGCCAGGTGCAGTGGCTCACGCCTGTAATCCCAGCACTTTGGGAGGCCGAGGCGGGCGGATCACTTGAGGTCAGGAGTTCGAGACCAGCCTGGCCAACATGGTGAAACCCCGTCTCTACTAAAAATACAAGAATTAGCCAGGCGTGGTGGATGACACATGCCTGTGATCCCAGCTACTTGGGAGACTGAAGCAGGAGAATTGCTTAAACCCGGGAGGCAGAGGTTTCAGTGAGCTGAGATCACGCGGTTGCACTCCAGCCTGGGCGAAGAAGCGAGACTCCGTCTTAAAAAAAAAAAAAAAAAAAAAAGAAAGTTGGAAAACACACACGCTCACGCCCTCTCCATCTCTCTCCCTTGGACTTCGATCTCTGACCGACTGTTGCCATGAAGTTGGGACTTTGGCTGCTGGCAGCTACTGGTTCATCTTTCTAACTCTGTTATCAGAAAGGAAGAGACTCTCTTCCATTATTCTAATGTAAAAAATGCCAGGGAAAGACTGGTTCATCTTGGGTAATATGCTGTCTTTGTGGCCAGGATTGGGGATGGGAGAGGTAGAGTTAGGAATGGCTTCTGTGATTGGCAGGGGCCACCTGAATCATGGTTGGACTAGGGAGAAGAATGGGTCCCAAAACATAATGTAGGAGATTTTGTTTTCAGAAGACAGGAGATGTACTTGGCAAATTTAATGTGTGTGTGTGCTTATATATTTAATATAAACATCACAATACATTTTGAATCAGCCAAATTTAAAAAAGGAGGAATCTACCTGTCAAAGAGTTTAAGCAACTTTCCCAGCATCACAAAACTATTAATTTAGGGAGCTGCATTTATATGCCTCTAAGTTCAACTTTGAAGGTTCTGAGTTCAACTTTGTCAGGCAGCCTCCCAGGGAGGACAAGAGAATGTGTGCGGGGGTGATTCAAAGAGTCAACTTATTCATAAAGCCCAAAAAATCTTTTTTTGTACATATTTACTTACTACTAATTTATTCACCCAACATTAATATTTTTAAAATTATTCAATTGTTTGACAGTGGAAAATCATGACTTCACTCTAAAGACATGATTGGATGTATGGAATAAATTTTTTGTGACAGCTTATTTATAAAATGTTGCTATATTATCATATCAAATTGTGACAGGTTAATGACTAATATTTATTAAATAGTTAATATTTGTTGAACTCTATGCTAACCACTTAGTAGACACTGTGAAAATTCAATCTTTACAACAGTGTCATTAGCCAGTTACTATCATGATTTCCTTCAGTTAATGCCTTAGAGGTAGAGGTCTTGATGGTTTTACTTTGGTAATTACATTCTCTAGCCAAGTAGCGGCACCCAACTCTTCGGCTCACACCTTGAGCCGGAACTAGTTACATGCCCCCTCCTCACCAAATACGGCTAGAAAATACAAACCTACTGTGTACCTGGAAGGAGAAGTGCCAAGAGTATTTAACAACACAAACATCTTTGAGTTTAAATCTCCATGGGAGAATCACCTACGAATAGTCTGTTATCTAATTAACCACTGATTTTAAATTACCTGAGAAGCTATACTATGCTCTGAAGAATATGTGTGGGAATAAAGTTCGTGATATGAAGTGAAGCTCTGGTGATAGGTGTGGCTTCAATGTCCCATGAGCCACATGCATGCATGACCCTTAAACTGGATAACAGAAAGTAGGGATGAAAATACAAATAGGAGGCTGATTGATAACCACAGACAGATTTTTGTTATTTTGTAATTTTTTTCCTGTACATTAAAACTCACACATTTTTGCCACCGAACTTCCTTTGGGAAATCCTCCCAATTCTTCCTAGACTTAAGCCTTAAAGCCATGTCGTGGCAATTGTTCTGTGCTCCAATATCCACCTTGCTGCTAAGGGAAAGGACTCAGCCACCCTACTTCTCCCCTGAATAAGCTGCTCCCACTCAGGACTAGTTGCAGACTTAGATGTGCTGACTGTAGCTCCTCTCGAATCCCTTCCCGGATAATCATCAAAAAGAAACTACAGGCTGGGCATGGTAGCTCACACATGTAATCCCAGCACTTTGGGAGGCCGAGGTGGGCAGATTGCTTGAGTCCAGGAGTTCAAGACCAGCCTGGACAATACCCCATCTCTACCAAAAAAATACAAAAATTAGCTGAGTGTGCTTGTCTGTGGTCCCAGCTCCTCAGGAGGCTGAGGCAGGAGGATCTGTTGAGCCCAGGAGGCAGAGATTGCAGTGAGCCATGATTGGGCCACTGTACTCCGGCCTGGGCGATAGCACCAGACCCTGTCCCCCAACAAAAAGAAAGAAAGAAGGAAACTACAATATGAAACTGAGGAAGGCGTAAAGTTCAAGAATTTTTAGTGAATTCTTAAAGCCATTACTCTTAATCTTTATTTTATGCACTCTGAGTTCAGAACAGAAATGCTTCAACAATACCTACCCCAGCCGAAACCATAGATGATTTTAAGAGTGAAATTATGTATCCTTGGACACAGCTTCTGGTGAATGATAGATGGCTCCATAAAGCTGCTATACACGTGGCTACAGTGTATCACAGCTAAAGGATAGGGAATAAAATCAGCCAAATGAAGAGGCACATAGAGCAGAGTCCAGGAAGGTTCCAAATTCAGAGCTTCCGGTTGTCCTTTCTGCACAGTCATGGAAAGTGTTGTCTTCAAGTGTGACAATAAGGTCAGAGTGTTGCCAACCAGGGAAGCTCACCCAGGCCTTGGTGCCCAGAGTCCTTGCTGGCACTCCATCTGCAGGCACAGCTGACTACACACATGGCTCATCCAGTGTCCAGCCCCTCTAGAGGTCAAGCTGTTACTCGGTGACCCAAGGCTCCCACATCAAATCACATTGTTGGAATGCCTGGCATAGCCAACCCCCTGCCCTAAATCACATTGTTACACTCCTGTCAGAAACAATGTTCCAAGGGCTTAGATATTACCTTCCAGAAGACAAGGACAAAGCCATATCTCTCCTTGAATAAGATTAAATTCTTTACTATACAAAACACACACACACACACACACACACACACAGAGAGAGAGAGAGAGAGAGAGAGAGAGAGCTACAACAAAACCTTTCACACTTGAAGCCCACTTGTAAGACATATGATATGGTTTGGCTGTGTCTACATCCAAATCTCATCTTGAATTGTAGCTCCCATAATTCCCACATGTTGTGGGAGGCACCCAGTGGGAGAAAACTGAATCATGGGGGAGGTTTCCCCCATACTGTTCTCATGGTAATGAATAAGTCTCAGGAGAGCTGATGGTTTTATAAGGGGAAACCCCTTTCACTTGGTTCTCATTCTCTTGTCTGCCGCCATGTAAAATGTAACTTTCACCTTCCGCCATGATTGTGAGACCTCCTCAGCCACGTGGAAATGTGAGTCCATTAAACCTCTTTTTCTTTATAAATTACCCAGTCTCAGGTATGTCCTCATCAGCAGCCTGAGAATAGCTTAATACATCATATATTGTCCATAGGGGAAAATATGAAACCAAAGAAGAATTCTGTTTATTGTGGCCACTGATAACAACTTTTGTAAATATTACCCCTTACTGGAAAGATTTTGTAAAGAAGTAGGAATTTTTCTTCAATAATGCATTATACAATTATTCTACAAAGAAAAAACTTGGATACTAGTACCTTTAAAATAAGTGGGGTTAATTATGAGTTTTCACACCTAAAACTAAGCTTTACATACTCTCCTTTCTGTTGACCTAATTAACTCAATCTCTAGAGATCTTTGACTTTACTGTGAAGTTCAGGACATGTCACTGCTGAGGAATAAATTAATGATATAAAGGAATCAAAGTCAAAATTAGCATAAAATTAGTATCCCACTGCTCACCACCTTCAGGGAAAACTAACTGAATTTATTAGGACACCTGTTGATGAGACAATCAACTCTGGCAAAAATTTTGGTTTTCGTTTTAGATACCTTTGGTGTAATGTTGTCATAAACCTCATGCTATTTCGAAAGCATAAAATCTGGGCCTTCACCAAATGATTGTTATTTTATGATCCCCTCAACATTTATAGTCTTCAAAAACTGAAATCTTGATGCAAAGAGTCTTCACTGTGAAATTGCAGTAATTATACTTTAAATTGATTTTATTCATATTCACCTTATAGAGGCTTTGGGTATACTGGGGTGTTATATTTTAAATGCAGCTATTTTAGAGAATGTAAGGAAAGGATATTCATCTAAATAGGCTTTGGATAAATAGTAATGGAAAGAGCCAATATTATAAGAGAGTACTCACTTAGAAATAAGCAGCACTTCTCAGAAATCTATCTTGTCCATAGGCTTTTGGAAATATGCTAATACTATATTGTTGATCTTCCTTGGAGCATGCCAAACCAGGAAGACTTCCAAGAAAAAAATAGCAGATCTGGAGAAAGAGATTGCATGTGACAATAAAGCATTTAAATATTAATATTATTAAAACCTGTTTCCCACCTATCTCTCTTTCTCGCACTTTCTCCAATATCTTTTTTATATGTAGTCTTTGTTGTAATTAAGGAAATGTTTATTTCCTAATTTATTTTTTCTTTCTCATAAATAAGTTATCCTTAAGTGCTGATGAGATAATTAATATTCAAGAAAGACAATTTAAAGTGCCTGCTAAATACACATGCCTCTAGGAACAATGGTCTAAGGAGCACACAGCAGGAGGTGAGCAGTGGGTGAGTGAGTGAAGCCTCATCCGTATTTACAGCTGCTCCCCATCATTCCCTTCACCACCTGAGCTCTGACCCCTGTCAGATTTGCAGCAGCATTAGATTCTCATAGAAGTGCAAACCCTGTTGTGAACTGTGCATACAAGGGATCTAGGTTGCATGCTCCTTATGAGAATCTAATGCCTGAAGATCTGTCACTGCCTCCCATCACTCCCATATGGGACCATCTAGTTGCAAGAAAACAAGCTCAGGGCTCCCACTGATTCCACTTTATGGTCAGTTATATAATTATTATATATTACAATGGAATAATAATAGAAATAAAGTGCACAGTAAATGTAATGCACTTGAATCATCCTGAAACCATACCCCGCCCCCCTACCAGTCCATGGAGAAATTGTCTTCCATGAAGCCAGTTCCTGGTGCCAAAAATGTTGGAGACTGCTGGTCTAAGACACAGCCAATAATAACAGAGCAAAGGAGGTTAGTAAATTATAATTTAACAGTGTGACCCTCGACTTTATTAAAATTAAAACCAAAATCAAAGATGTTTGCATATCCTGCAAACCTGCTATTGGAGATGGAGAATCCTTTTCATAAAGTCAGTAAAATATAAGGTAAATTCTACTAGAATGTAGTGCCAAGTAAAAGTTTGTTTCTTCTAAAGTGTTACGGTGTATTTTATCAGATAACTCTTGCAAGCTGTGTTGCTATCTGTTGGCTGCCAGGAAACACAAAGCTAATAACCTTCTGTTATCAATCGCTTAGGGGTGGTCTTTCACCTTAATAGTGGAATGTGGCTTCCCAAAATAGACGGGAATTCAGACCCTGCAGATTTCAATCTGAAAATAGTCTCTGGAGATAGGAAGAGAGTGATGTGCAGACATTTCCCAGTTTGGCCAGTCACCACAGCTATCCCCTTGGTGTGCCATGCCTGAGTCTAGTCATGACGGATATTTTCATTAAAATAGTTAACTAGATACTAAGACCAAAGAGAAAATAAAGAAAATGTATAAATGTTCCCAGCAGTGTGTCTTACAACATGGTGGTTTCAGATCCTCTCAAATCAAGGTCTGTTTACTCCCAAGATCTCTGATCTCATTCTGCTTCTTTTTCCATGAGGGAAAAAACCATCCCTTGCCTGAATTCCTCATTTCCTGGTGAAACTTTGGAAGCTCTAGTATTTATTTTACTTTTTTCTCGATATTTTCTTACCTTTAGTCTTTATTTTTAACTCCCATATGTGTATTTACATTATAAACTGTTTCAAGTTACTTCTCAAAGTAAAGAGAGACTAAAATACAAACAAATCAACACATAAATTGAGAGTGAGGCTGATTATAATGCTAATGAACACTTCAGTGAGGGATTCAAGCCCCAGTCTTGGGTTGGACTAGCAAGGCATATAAACGAATTACGGGTTACCAAATTCTGCAGGCCATGGGAGATTTGGTATAAAAGAACAAACAGTTTACAGTCCTTCTCAATATTAAAGAATATAAAATTGCTTTGTATCTTTGTGATGTGAAACAGCCAGTCAAAGTAAGGGTGAACTTGGTCTGCTTTCCACTTCAGTGTTTCTCACTTTACTTAATTGTAACTCAGACGTGCTCTAATAACCCATTTTACTGTTTTAGGCAGTCTGGTTTTCAAGCAGGCAGGAGAAATTAGGACATACCACGCAGTTAGTGAGTCATATATGTCACTCATTCTGCTAGGGCAAAGCCTAAGGTTTTATGCTGTTGTTAGTCACACAATGTAGCTGAAAAAATGCCATATTCACCATCTTCCAATATATAACAGTGCTTCTTCACTGTAATCATCTCTTCCAATCCTATTTTCTCCCTGGAAAGAGCTAGGTGACAGCATGGCATTGCTCAGTGGAAGATTTTCTGGTTTTCATTGTATTAGACAATCACTACACAGTAAATTGAACGGCAAAATGGCACAAGAGATAAACAAGGCTATAAGCCCAGCTATAGAAAGGGGACTTTACATTTTCTGTGACACAAAACAACAGCAATCTCATATTTATTTTATCAGGACTGCATTACCCTTCTGGACTATTACTGTCATAATAGGCTATACATTTTGCTTCAGTTTCAGTTGCTTCAGTGATACATGATTATTTTCTACAAATGCTACACTTTCCATAAAGGAAGAAAGAAAGGGACTAATAAATGAGCCCCATTCTCTTAATCAAGACAAGTGAGAAAACAAGGACACTGGGTGGAACGTGTCCTCACTTCTGATATCTCCTATGTGATTATTTACATAACAGTTTAAAAGAGACCATTTTAAAAGAAATACACTTTTAAACATGTATTCATATTTACAGACTATATCATATGGTCAAAAAATGTTATTAAAATTATTAACTAATTTATACATGAAATACAAGTAATGTTTAATAAGTTTTACAATATGTTTTGAAAAACTTGAACTTCCTCAATGTCACCTTACAAATATGTAAATATATGTATGCATATGTATATATAAGTATGCATATAGATGTGTGTGCATGTGTACATACATACCCACATATGTGGATATATAATATATCCACATACATGGATACATATAACTATAATGTCATTACATTTGAACACCATAAAAACTGGCTGCTGGTACAAAATTCCAGCCTTCATTAAGTTCATTTATAGATTTACTCATCCAACAATTAATTTACTCAACAAATATTTGTTGAGCTTTTTGTGTAAGCCATTGGGCTGATTGATGGATTTAAAAATAATTAAGACTGGTGCTTGTCCAAAAAGAGGTTACAATCCATTAAAGGACATAAGACAGTTATACAACCAACTATTATGAAAGCCAGAATAATTACAAGCCAACTGACTGTGCCAAGGGAGTACTGTTCTTTCAAATAAATGAAATTTCAAAAATGCTCATGGAGAATGTGGCACCTAAGCTAGGGCTTAAAAAATGTGTACAGTTCCAAAGGCGAAAGGAGAAAGTTTAACTTGAGTAAATTTAAAAATAATTGAACTAGAGAAAATGACTTAAGAAAATGCAGAGACAGGAAAGGAATTTTGGTTGAACTTGAGAGTCATCAAATTTGGCTACAATGTTAGCTATGTTTTTAGAAACTACTATGAGAGATGAAACTGGAAGAATGTTTTACGTTTAGATGGCAGAGGATCTTCAATGCATGACCAAAAGGTTTAGTGTTCAACAAATGAGCCGAAGACAGTCAGTGAAGTGTTCAGATCACTGAGTGAAGTGAGCACAGCTGTCTGCATGGGCTTCTCCTCATGCTGGCACGAGCCATAGATTGTTGTGAAGAAAAGCCATTCAGCAGTGGGTTTGTGTCTATGTGGCACTGATCACAAGAAATTGGGTGCTAATAGTGTTGAAATGTACAAGAAAGGCAACGTGTGTCTGCCTGTGTATGCACAGATATATGCATGTAGTTGGCACAGAGCTGTTACAGGTATAAGGAAGAGATTAGTGGCCAGGCACGGTGGCTCATGCCTGTAATCCCAGCACTTTGGGAGTCCGAGGCAGGTAAATCACCTGAGGTCAGGAGTTCAAGATCAGCCTGGCCAACATGGTGAAATCCCGTCTCTACTAAAAATATAAAGATTAGCTGGGTGCGGCAACAGGTGCCTATAATCCCAGCTACTGGGGAGGCTGAGGCAGGAGAATCACTTGAACCTGGGAGGCAGAGGTTGCAGTAAGCCGAGATCATGCCACTGCACTCCAATCTGGTGACAGAGCGAGACTCCGTCTCAAAAAAAAGAAAAAAAAGAAAAAAGAAAAAAAAAGAAGAGGTTAGTTTAGTTTTTGAATATTGGAGGTTTGGGAGAAATTAAAAATAAATTACTACATATTATATATTACATGGTCACAGTTTTGGGGATTAGGTTCTGGACATCTTTGGGGTGAGAAGGGCAGCATTTTTCATGTGCCACGTAGTATCCTTGGTGGTTGAGGCCGGGAATCTGCATTTTCATGATGTCTCTAAGTGACCCTGTGCAAGTACAAAGGCCTACAGATTATTTTAAGGCTTAAGCAGTCACAAGATTTTAAAGCCAGGCTTGTGGTCTCTTTAGCAATGTGAATCCCTCTAAAGTTTAGTAGATTTCCTCTGTGCTTCCAATCAGTTCCATGTTTCATTATCCATAATCAAATTACCTTTCTGGAAAAAGATAATAGGTCTTCTCTATTATCCTGATTTTTTTTTGCCCCATCTCTACCTTTCTAGTTCTCACCTTAATGGCAGCTACTTTAAAACCATCTAAAACATAGGCTGGTAAAGAGAGAAAGCTTCCTTAACTCCCACTGTTTGGAAGTTCAAAGTACTTTGTTTTCCAATTGTGTAAGGCCCCAAATATCTCTACTCTTTATTTCTTCTTCCACAAACCTGCAAATTCCCACTTCACCTCACCTTAGATGTAATGCCTTACTAAAGTAAAAAGTAAAAGTCCATACTACACTTTCCAACCACTTCTCCTAGAGTCACCCAGCCTGCCTTGCAAGTTAGTACACGTGACTGTTTTACTAAACATTAGACCAAACTTTGTCAACTTTTCAGAGTATGATATCCATTTCCACTTTCAGTTATCCATATTGTTATTGTTAGAGCAGCGGCTTATATAAAAATGCCTATTTCTGTATATTAGGCAAGACTGTAGCAGCAAATGAACCTAAAATACCTGTGTGTCTTATTACAATAGAAATTTATTATTTTACGATACTCTGCTGCAGGTTTTCCAGGTCATCAGTGGTTTTGCTCCAAATGGTGATTTAGAGACCTACATCTCATCCACCTGTGGCTCCATCATCTTTGAGTTCTATCTAATAGAATCTGAGTGGAAATGACTGTCATTTTGTGTGTCTTCTCCTGATCTCTTCTCCTTCTACTATTTATCTTGATCTGCATCCACTCAGTAGAACTCAATGACATGAGTTGGGTCTCACATCTAAGTTCAGTTGAAGCAGGGAAATGTAATCTATTCGTATTCCAGTAGAAGAAATAGATTCGTTTTAGATTTTGGTAAACAACTAACAGTCTCTATCATATCACCAAATGATTATTTATATGTCTTCATTTAGGGTATTTGCTGCAGCTTTTAAGTAATAGAAAGCTTGATTCCGCAAATGTAAATCTACTTACGTACATTTCACATAGTCCCAGACACATAAAGAAATTTGGCAAATCTATTCTGATTTTTTTTAAGAATTTGGGTCAGACTCTTCTTTCTAAAAACATAGTGAAAAAAGCTTCTCAGTCTGGTCTCCAAAAGCATTCTTCCTGACAGTCCCATCCCCACTACCCCCATAGACTACTGAAGTCTGTTGCTCTACAGAGAGTTCTCTCAACTATTGGAACTCTTCAGAAACAAAATTCGCAACACATCTGCAATTAGAAAGGGTCCTTCCAGCTGATCCAGGTCCTTACTTTCCCCTTTGAGTTAGTCCCAGGTGTTCTGTCGGTTCTAGTATAGAGTTAGGGATTGGGAATTTGCTTGGGATACCACCATGTCTCAGCATCTGCCCTCTGTCTAACCTTTTGAATCACTTGTTTCTCTACACACAGTGTTAGTTTTTCACGGCTTTTGTAACAAACAATCACCAATTTAGTTTTTAAGAGAAACTTATTCTCTCACCATTCTGGGACTTGAAGTTGGAATCAGTATCACTGGGCTGAAATCCAGGTGTCTGCAGGGCTTCACTCTCTTCAGAGGTCTAGGAGAGGCTCTGTCCATCCCCTTGCTTTCTTTCAGTTCTGGTGACTTCCAGCATTCTTTTCGTCTGTACCACATCACTCCAATCTTCAAGTCTCTTGCTTTGTCTCTGCATGGTCTCTGAGGAGGACTGAGGGGAAAATCTGTTGCCTGCTTCTTCCAGCTTCAGGTGGCTGTTGCTATGTCTTGTTGCATTGCCACATCAGCCCAATCTCTGCCTCTATCTTCACATTGCCTTTTTCTCATCTGTCTATGAAATCTAGCCTGCCTCTCTCTTATAAGGACACTTGTGATGGCATTCAGGACCCACTAGGATAATCCAGAACACTTGCCCCATCTCAAGATCCTTAGCTTAATCGCATCTGCAAAGACCCTGTATCTCAAGTAAGGTAACAGATAGTTTCCAGGGATTAGGACCTGATATCTTTCGGGAGACCATTTTTCAATCTACTACATATATACCCAATGTCAAACTTTTTTTCAGTGGAACTGGAATACAAGAAGCTGAGAGAAGACCAGCTGGAATATGTGGGTATCGGCTATATTTACTAATCAATGCATTTCATGTGCCCACTTTAATTTCTCTCCAGAGACTGGATAAAGAGAAGGCAAGCTGTCTTCTTTCTCTTTTTTCCTTACATATAAAAATCAAAAACAGATAATGGTAAGAAGTTCACACAAACCAAGTTATATTGAAGACTCAACTTAGTTTTACCTGAAAGTTTACACAAAAACATTCAGGATCTGATTAAAGGTAAATAGCATTAGAAAGACACTTGCATCCTAGTATAAATTCAACTGCTAAAATCTCTACTAATAGTTTACTTTTTTGTTCAGTTGAGAATCTTAGAATTCTAGAACCAAAAGGCTCACTGAGATGATCTATCCTAATTCCTTTATTTTAGAGGTGAAAAAATACGGCCACGAAGGATAAGCTTCTCACCAAAGTTACAAAGTTACTTAGCTTGCAGAATTACTCAGCCTTTTTCCTTGCCTCCATTTTAGTGCTCTGACCTTTTACACTTATTGCTATGCCCATTTTCTTTAGTGTTACGCAGTGTTGCAAAGCACCTTTCTAAATGACTAATTATCCCTCACCCCTTATATAGAAAGCTCTAGGTGTTGCCCTTTAAATTGTTTATTCACACC
Organism: Homo sapiens; assembly: GCF_000001405.40. NCBI lineage: Eukaryota > Metazoa > Chordata > Mammalia > Primates > Hominidae > Homo > Homo sapiens. Next base: position 238,218,286 of record NC_000001.11, on the reverse strand, counting down.
GAACACAGAAAAATAGGTCTCCACCAGAATTCTCTTCAGACATCCAAGATAACGTGGACAGAGAAGACAAATTGAGAAGAAGGAAGTTGGAAGAAGTCACTACCTCTTGGAATAACATCTTTTCACTAGACAATTATTACCTCCTAATGAGTCTAAATGTTAAAATAATAAAGTAAATTGAAAAAGTGCCAATTAACTTATTGTTTTAAAATAAAAAAGAATTTAAAACATTACCTGGGTGGGTAGTTTTATTTTATTATAGTAGCCTTTAAAATGATTTTCTTATAATATTTTAACATAAAATACATTATTCCATGGTAGTAATTTATTTGCACAGTGCTACAGTGTGGATGTTTGTCCTTCCAAACTGCATGCTAAAATTTGATCCCAATGTTGGAAGTGGTGCCTAATGAGAGGTGTTTGGGTCATGACGGTGGATCTCTCATGAATAAATTAATGTCTTCCCTGGGAGGAGGGAGAGAATGAGTGAGTTCTTGCTCCCTTACTTCCCCTAAGAGCTGATTGTTACAAAGAGCCTGGCACCTCCCCCCAACTTGCTTCCTTTCTCACCATACGATCTCTGCACACACTGGCTCCCATTCACCTTCTGCCATGATTGGAAGCTTCCTGAGGCCCTTACTAGAAGCAGATGCTACACTAGGCTTGTTGTACAGCCTTCAGAACTGAGAGCCAAATGAACCTCTTTTCTTTATAAATTACCCAACTGCAAGCATTCCATTATAACAGCACAAAAAGACTAAAACACACAGAAATTTGAAGAGAAGTATTACCTGTGAGGCTTTCCCTGGAAAGTATAAAACAGAATTAAACAGATAGCATTACAAAAACATAATAACCCATGCCATACAGTTTATCTTTTTACCCAATGTTTACATGCTGACAGCCCATTCAAGCATCAGAAACTAATCAGTTCAACTCAGAAATTAAAATGAATTGAAATTATCAACATGACTATGGGCACTAAGCAAGTAAATGATATGCTGATTTTTCTGTTAATGTAACTATGCAAGCATACCAAGGAAAGCCATTTTAAACCTGGTTTGTGGCAAAGCATTTATAAACTCTGGCTTGATATTTATTTTTAAGTGTATATGACCTATAGTTTTGTCAAGTCCTATAATCTATAGGTTTTATTTTATAGTAATATCTTTTTATTAAATGTCAAACTATTTCTGGTTTCAGGCTACTATAGTAAACTTGTATATTCCCAAAGAAATAGGTATCATAAAGTCTGAAATAGTGGTGAGTGACTTTAGTCTGCATTTCTAGTAGTTGAGGTTGAATGAAGTGCCATATTGGATAGGAAAGGAGAATATCAAGGAAAGGAAAAAAAGAGAGTCTAACATGTTCCAAGCAAGACACCATATTGGGTATTTATTTTATCTATATAACTTTCTCCTTCTCCACTCCCTCCCCATCCTCTCAATGGAATAAGCAGGATATCTTGTTCTAGTCCTACCAGATACCATATTAGGTAGTTGGTTTTTTCTCCAGAACTCCCCCCTACTCTACTCCTTCCCCACTGTCAATACAGTGAACATTGGGATACCTTGTTCTTGCCCCAGCTTTTGCACTATAGTAATAAGCTTTTGGCAATTCTTATCTTGGGACTTCCTTTTCTTCATCTAGTAAATGAGGGATTTGAAATGAGCCATTGCTAAGATTCCTTTTATTTGTGCTCTTCTACATAAATAGATGACCACTGCAGTAGCCCCTCTCATTTCAGTACCTTCCTGCTCCCAATTAGGAAACTACCGTTTATCAGTTTCTGCCAAGGTAGGACCCATGGTTGTAAACTTGAATAGGAGGATCTTTTTGCTTTGCAAGGAATAGTGCCTACTAACACACATTTTAAAGAGATTACTTTTTGTACCCTTAAATTATTTTGGAGGCCCCAGAGATAGATCACAGCATAACTTGTGTAGTAATGACACAGCGATTTAATCTACAGCCATGCGTTCTTGTCTAACATTCACTTTGTCCCCTAAGGAAAATGTATATAATGTTAATGTAGTTTAGTGATTAAACCTGTTGTTTCTGGAACTGCTTAAATTATAGTCCTGTTTACACCACACTAGCTGTTTAACCCTGGGCAATGCACTTAACCTTGCTGTGTTTTCATTTCTTCCTGTGTAATATGGAGTGTGAGCATCTGATAGTGTAATAGTGGTAAAGCTCTTAGTACAATGCCAGCAACACTGTAAGTGTTCAAATAAAAGGTACTTTTTACTTTCTCTTCATGCTTTTACCCTACTAGATAATTATCTAGCAGAGGAATTATCCTCAGTAATTTAGGCCAACTGTAAGTTAATAAAGATCAGGGTTAAGAATGATAAAATGATTGGTAAACTTTTGCTGAAAGGGCCAGATATTAAATATTTTAGGCTTCTGTGGCCATTTGGTCTCTGTCACAACTACTGAATTCTGCCATTGTAACATAAAGCAGTCATAGACAATACATGAACAAATAGATTTGGCTTTGTGGCAATAAACTTTACAATAGCAGGTGGCTAACCCACATACTCCTGCAATTAGGTGCATCCACCATATCCACTCCCAATGACAGAGTCCTAGACTGTCACTCCCTCCCCATTTCTTTTATGAACATGTTCTTGTGCATGTCCTTTATGGACAAATGTGAGATTTCTCACAAGGATGTATACTGATATGGTTTGGCTCTGTGTCCCCACCCAAAACTCATCTCAAATTGTAATCTCCATGTGTCGAGGGAAGGACCTGTAATCCCCATATGTTGAGGGAGGAAGGTGACTGTATCATGGGGGCAGTTTCCTCCATGCTGTTCTTGTGATAGGGAGTGGATTCTCATGATAGCTGATCATTTTATAAGTGTTTGGAAGTTCTTCCTGCTCTCTCAACTGCCACCATGTAAGACATGCCTTGCTTCCCCTTCAACTTTCATCATAATTATAAGCTTCCTGAGGCCTCCCCAGCTATGCAGAACTTTGAGTCAATTAAACTTCTTCCCTTTATAAATTACCCAGTCTCGGGTATTTCTTTATAGCAGTGTGAAAATAGACTAATACAGGAAATTGGTACCACAGAGAGTGGAGCACTGCTATAAAGATACTTGAACATGGGGAAGTGACTTTGGAACTGGGTAATGGGCAAAGGTTACAACAGTTTGGTAGGGCTCAGAAGAAGACAGGAAGATGTGGAAAAGTTTAGAACTTCCTAGAAACTTGTTGAATGGTTTTGACCAAAATGTTGTTGGTGATTTGGACAACCAAGTCAAGGATGAGGTGGTCTCAGATGGAGATGAAGAACTTATTGGGAACTGGAACAAAGATCACTCTTGCTATGCATTAGCAAAGACACTGGTGGCCTATTGCCCCTGCCCTAGAGATCTGTGGAACCTTCAACTTGAGACAAATGGTTTGAAATTGGAACTTATGTTCAAAAGGGAAGCAAGGCATAAAAGTTTGAAAAATTTGCAGCCTGACCATGTAGTAGAAAACAAAAACCCATTTTCTGGGGAGGAATTCAAGGCTGCAGAAACTTGCATAAGTAACTAGGAGCCAAATGTTAATTGCCAAGACAGTGGGGAAAACGTCTCCAGGGCATGTTAAAGACTTTCATGGCAGCCCCACCCATCACAGACCTGGAGGCCCAGAAGGGAATAATGGTTTACTGGACTGGGCCCAGGGCCCCACTGCTCTGTGCAGCCTCAGGACATGGTGCTCTGGATCCCAGCTGCTCCACCTCCAGCCGTGGCTAAAAGGGGTCAAGGTACAGCTCAGGCCATTGCTTCAGAAGGTACAAGTCCCAAGCCTTGGTGGCTTCCACATGGTGTTGGGGCTGCAGGTGCACAGAACACAAGAGTTGATCTTTGGGAACCTCCACCTAGATTTCAGAGGATGTATGGAAACACCTGGATGTCCAGGTGGAAGTCTGCTGCAGGGGCAGAGCCGTCGTGAAGAACCTCTGCTGGGGCAGCGCAAAGGCAAAATGTGGGGTTGGAGCCCCCACACAGAGTCCCCACTGGGCACTGTCTAGTGGAGCTGTGAAAAGAGGGCCACCATCCTCCAGTCCCCAGAATGGTACATCCACCAATGGCTTGCACTGTGCACCTGGAAAAGCCACAGGCACTCAACACCAGCCCGTGAAGGAGTTGCCCAAGGCAGTGGGAGCCTACTCAACAGTGTGCCCCAGATGTGAGACATGGAATCAAAGGAGATTATTTCAGAGCTTTAAGATGTAATGACCACCCCAGTGGATTCTGGACTTGCATGGGACCTGTAGGCCCTTTGTTTTGGCAAATTGCTGCTATTTGGAATGGGAGCATTTACCCAATGCTTGTACTGCCATTCTATCTAGGAAGTAACTAACTTGCTTTTGATTTTAGAGGCTCATAAGTGGAAGGGACTCGCCTTGTCTCAGATGAGACTTCAGACTGTGTATTTTTGAATTAATGCTGAAATGGAGTTTGGGAAACTGTTGGGAAGGGATGAATGTTTTTGAAATGTAAAAAGACATCAGATTTGGAAAGGGTGAGTGGAGGAATGATATGGTTTGGCTCTATGTCCCCACCCAAAACTCATCTCAAATTGTAATTCCCATGTGTTGAGGGAGGTAGGTGTTTGGATCATGTGGGCAGTTTCCCCATGCTGTTCTCATGATAGTGAGTTCTCACAAGATCTGATGATTTTATAAGTGTTTGGAAGTTCTTCCTTCACTCTCTCTTGCCTGTGAACATGTAAGACGTGCCTTGCTTCCCCTTCACCTTCCACCATGATTGTAAGTTTCCTGAGGTCTCCACAGCCATGCATAACTGTGAGTCAATTAAAACTCTTCTCTTTACAAATTACTCAGTTTCAGGTATTTCTTTATAGCAGTGTGAAAGCAGACTAATACATATACTCAGGAAAACAATATGTGCATATTTAATAAACTCAGTAGGGCTCTGGCAAGACTGTACCTCTCCAGAAGGAATGCATGGGTCACAATCAAAAGGGCAGTGCAGGGGACTTGCTATAGCCCACATAACTGCCAACACAAAGATTACTAATTTTCACCAGCCTAAAATGTATACATTATTATATATTTTATTTCAATATCTCAAATTAGTAATGACTTATAACATGTGCTTAATGGCCTTGAATTTTTTTCTGTATAAATTGCCTATTCATGTCCTTTGCCCTGTTGAGATTGTTTGTTGTCTTTCTTGTGGTTTGCAGGAGTGCCTTGGAGATTGTAGATATGGATATTTTGTTTAATTTAGACATTGAAAATATTTTCTTTAATTCAAAAAATTATCTTTCTTCATGGAGTTTTGTGTAATAGTAATAGAAGTCCTTAGTTTTGATAAAATAAAATTAATCAACTTTTTGCTTTTGTGTTTGAACTCTGGGAGTCATTTCTTTGAAGAAATCTTTGTTTTCTAGCCCACATAGATAACTGCATACATAATCTATTAGGCCTATAAATTACCTTTCAATTTGAGTACCTAATCCTTTAGAGCTCACATTTTGTATGTGTTAAGTGAGGAGCCAGCTTTATTTTTCTTAATCTAGTAAATAGTTTTCTTATTATCATCTTCCACAGCAGTCCCCAACCTTTTTGGCACTAGGAACTGGTTTCATGGACAACAATTTTACCATGGACAGGGTTGGGGTGGGGGATGGTTTTGGGATAAAACTGTTCCACCTCAGATCATCAGGCATTAGATTCTCATAAGGAAAATGCAACCTAGATCCCTCACATGCGCAGTTCACAGTAGGGTTCCTGCTCCTATGAGAATCTAATGCCACTGCTGATCTGACAGGAGGTGGAGCTCAGGTGGTAATGCTCACTTGCCTGTTACTCACCTCCTGCTGTGCGGCTCAGTTCCCAATGGGCCATGGACTGGTACTATTTCCGGTTTCAGACTACTAGGGTAAACTTGTATATTCCCAAAGAAATAGGTGTCTTAATGTCTAAAATAGTGGTGTGTGACTTTAGTCTCCATTTCCAGCAGTTGTGGTTGAATGAAGTGCCATACTGGATGGGAAAGGAGAATATCAAGAAAAGGAAAAGAAAGGTGATTGCTGAGGGTCTAACATGTTCCATGGAATAAACCATATTTGATATTTGTTTTATCTGTATAACTTTCTGGTACCAATCCATGGCCCAAGGGTTGGGCACCCTGATCTCCTTGACAAGTTGTCTTTTTTTATGGATTTGAGGAAGATGCCCTGTTTATGTGATGTTTAATTCCAAATATAAATGATTCTATCTGTTGGCTATCAGTTGTCTTCCTTTTTTTTTCATGTGTCTGTTCTGGTGCCAATTTTACACTGTCACACTTGCATTGCTTCATATAAGTATATAATATCTGGTAGCCCTGATTCTCCCTCAAACTTTCCATTTTTAAGATGCATTGAGTTACTCTTGGACTTCATTCTTCAATAGAACTTTTAAAGTATGTTTGTGAAACTCCTCAAAAAATACAACTGAAATGTGATCTGGAATTGAGTTGCACTTATAAAATTATTTGAGAAAAATTGGTCTTTTTATAATATGATGTCATCTCATGTAAGAAAATAAACAGTTCTTCACTTATTCAAATTATTATTATTATTATTATTATTATTATTATTATTTTTGAGACGGAGTCTCACCCTGTCGCCAGGCTGGAGTGCAGTGGCACAATCTCAGCTCACTGAAACCTCTGCCTGCCGGGTTCAAGTGATTCTTCTGCCTCAGCCTCCCAAGTAGCTGGGACTACAGGTGCCCACCACCACACCTGGCTAATTTTTTGTATTTTTAGTAGAGGCAGGGTTTCACCATGTTGGACAGGATGGTCTCGATCTCTTGACCTCGTGATCCACCTGCCTTGGCCTCCCAAAGTGCTGGGATTACAGGTGTGAGCCACCGTGCCCGGCCCACTTATTCAAATTATTTGCCATGTATCTTTTAGGGATTAACATTTTGTCCACTGAGGTCCTATTCACTATAGAGTAAGTTAATACCTAGGCACTTTTATTGTTTCTTGCTAGTAAGAAAGGTGACATGCTTCATTACAATTTTTAGTTGTTTTTTCTGGTGTAGAGAAATATTAATTTTTATTGATTCAAATACGGCAACCTTGCTTAATTCATTTATGAGGTCTATTACTTATTGATTTGGTTGTATTCTCTATCTAGATATTCATTTCAAATATAATTCTTTTTAATTTTCAGTGTCCAAGATATCTAACAATATGTATAACAGAAGGAAAAATAATGGGCATTCTACTCTTGCTCCCAGTCTTTTTTTTTAGATGGAATCTTGCTGTATTGCCCAGGCTGGAGTTAGTGGCACAATCTCGGCTCACTGCAACCTCCACCTCTCAGGTTCAGGCAATTCTCCTTTCTCAGCCTCCTGAGTAGCTCGGATTACAGGCGTGCCCCACACCTGGCTAATTTTTATAATTTTAGTAGAAACAGAGTTTTGCCATGCTGGCCAGGCTGGTCTTGAACTCCTGACCTCAGGTGATCTGCTTGTCTCAGCCTCCCAAAGTGCTGGGATTACAGGCGTAAGCCACCGCACCCAGCCCCAGTCTTAAAAATAATGAATTTAACTACTGTTTTTCATTAAGAGTATTTGATGTGGATTTTGGTACATAACCCTCACCAAATCAAAGAAATTCTTTTATAAAACAAGTTTATAAACCAGTTGTTGTTTTAATCATAAATATGTATTGAAATTTTTCAATTTTTTCCCCGCAACTATCAAGAGCCAAATGATTTTGGAGTCATCTGCTGATTTCTAAGCAGTGGCTAAAAGCTTTGGCAGTCTCACATGTTTATAGAATCAATCGTTTGTAAATGTGATAGAATGAGATTCAGAGAGATTAAAACAGCATTGAGATAAACCCAATATTTTGTTCTACTTTTCCTCTTGAGGTGGTTGTGACTTAGGGCCGAGAAGTAATGAAGCTGAGATGTTTCAGCCAAGAGGATAGGAAGATGAGCAGAGCATTTGGTAATTTCATATGGCTCTTGAGACAAAACAGAGCCGGTCAAGAAGGAGGAGAATTACTAGGCATAAAGCAAACAAAAAGCAGAATTCCAGTTAGGACCCTGGCAAAGCTATACCCTAAAAAATGCAGTAAGTTTGAAATACATAAGCCTTCAAAAAAAGTGATATACATCATCAAACCACTGAAATTCCATGTTTCATAGTCTTCCCCTACTTTGACTGCCAGCAACTTAAAGTCATCTAGAAGGCCTGACATCATCTAAAGTCTCAAATTTTTTCTATAACTTTCGTACACAATATCAAAAAAACATTTAAAATTTTTCTTTTTCTTTCTTTCTTTCTTTATTTTTTTAAATTATTATTATACTTTAAGTTTTAGGGTACATGTGCACAATGTGCTGGTTAGTTACATATGTATACATGTGCCATGCTGGTGTGCTGCACCCATTAACTCGTCATTTAGCATTAGGTATATCTCCTAATGCTATCCCTCCCCCCTCCCCCCACCCCACAACAGTCCCCAGAGTGCGATGTTCCCCTTCCTGTGTCCATGTGTTCTCATTGTTCAATTCCCATCTATGAGTGAGAACATGCAGTGTTTGGTTTTTCATCCTTGCAATAGTTTACTGAGAATGATGATTTCCAATTTCATCCATGTCCCTACAAAGGACATGAACTCATCATTTTTTATGGCTGCATAGTATTCCATGGTGTATATGTGCCACATTTTCTTAATCCAGTCTATCATTGTTGGACATTTGGGTGGGTTCCAAGTCTTTGCTATTGTGAATAGTGCTGCAATAAACATACGTGTGCATGTGTCTTTATAGCAGCATGATTTATAGTCCTTTGGGTATATACCCAGTAATGGGATGGCTGGGTCAAATGGCATTTCTAGTTCTAGATCCCTGAGGAATCGCCACACTGACTTCCACAATGGTTGAACTAGTTTACAGTCCCACCAACAGTGTAAAAGTGTTCCTATTTCTCCACATCCTCTCCAGCACCTGTTGTTTCCTGACTTTTTAATGATTGCCATTCTAACTGGTGTCAGATGGTATCTCATTGTGGTTTTGATTTGCATTTCTCTGATGGCCAGTGATGATGAGCATTTTTTCATGTGTCTTTTGGCTGCATAAATGTCTTCTTTTGAGAAGTGTCTGTTCATATCCTTTGCCCACTTTTTGATGGGGTTGTTTGTTTTTTTCTTGTAAATTTGTTTAAGTTTCATTTTAGATTCTGGATATTAGCCCTTTGTCAGTTGAGTAGGTTGTGAAAATTTTCTCCCATTTTGTAGGTTGTCTGTTCACTCTGATGGTAGTTTCTCTTGCTGTGCAGAAGCTCTTTAGTTTAATTAGATCCCATTTGTCAATTTTGGCTTTTGTTGCGATTGCTCCTATTCAACATAGTGTTGGAAGTTCTGGCCAGGCAATTAGGCAGGAGAAGGAAATAAAGGGTATTCAATTAGGAAAAGAGGAAGTCAAATTGTCCCTGTTTGCAGACGACATGATTGTATATCTAGAAAACCCTATTGTCTCAGCCCAAAATCTCCTTAAGCTGATAAGCAACTTCAGCAAAGTCTCAGGATACAAAATCAATGTACAAAAATCACAAGCATTCTTATACACCAATAACAGACAAACAGAGAGCCAAATCATGAGTGAACTTCCATTCACAATTGTTTCAAAGAGAATAAAATACCTAGGAATCCAACTTACAAGGGACGTGAAGGACCTCTTCAAGGAGAACTACAAACCACTGCTCAGTGAAATAAAAGAGGATACAAACAAATGGAAGAACATTCCATGCTCATGGGTAGGAAGAATCAATATCGTGAAAATGGCCATACTGCCCAAGGTAATTTATAGATTCAATGCCATCCCCATCAAGCTACCAATGACTTTCTTCACAGAATTGGAAAAAACTACTTTAAAGTTCATATGGAACCAAAAAAGAGCCCGCATCGCCAAGTCAATCCTAAGCCAAAAGAACAAAGCTGGAGGCATCACGCTACCTGACTTCAAACTATACTACAAGGCTACAGTAACCAAAACAGCATGGTACTGGTACCAAAACAGAGATATAGATCAATGGAACAAAACAGAGCCCTCAGAAATAATGCCGCATATCTACAACTATCTGATCTTTGACAAACCTGAGAAAAACAAGAAATGGGGAAACGATTCCCTATTTAATAAATGGTGCTGGGAAAACTGGCTAGCCATATGTAGAAAGCTGAAACTGGATCCCTTCCTTACACCTTATACAGAAATTAATTCAAGATGGATTAAAGACTTAAACGTTAGACCTAAAACCATAAAAACCCTAGAAGAAAACCTAGGCATTACCATTCAGGACATAGGCATGGGCAAGGATTTCATGTCTAAAACACCAAAATTTTTCAAGTGTTCCAGGAGATAGAAGAAAATGACTGAAGACAATAAAAACAACAGACCCACAGGTTACATACATACTAGAATCATCATACACCCTTGAGGATAAATATAATTAATTTCTTGTGCTAAAAAGAGTACATGGAAAAATGGGGAGATTCACCATAGGACTGGACTCTTTAACAAAAAGAATCCAATGACCAAGAGGTCATTTTAGAACTGCAACATACAATAACTGAAATTTAGAATTTAATATATAGGTTTAACAGTAGATTAGAAACAACAAAAGAGAAAATCAGTGAACTGAAGGATTGGTGATCAAAAATACTCATACAAAAGCATGAAAAAAAACAGAATAGAAGCTGCAGAAAAAAGATGAAAAATATATACGTGTACTATACAACATAAATATATATTATGAAACACAAAAAGATAACATAACTATACTAATATTAGAAACCCTAGACACTACAGCAAAAAATATCAAAAATAAAAAGAGACATTTTGTAATGATAAATCGGTCAACGTGCCAGGAGATAGAATAATTATAAATGTGCATGATCCTAATAGCATAATCTCAACATATGTAAGGCATGAATTTTCAGAACTAAAATGGATAAATAGATTAATATAAAATCATCCTTGGAGATTTTAACAAACTCTCAATAACTAATAGAAGAATCAAACAAAAAATATCAATAAGACTACCCAAAATGCTAATAGTGCTATAAACTAATGGCACCTAATTAACAAAGTACAATGACATTATACCCAAGAGTAACAGAATACACATTGTTTTCTTTTTTATTATTATTATTTTACTTTAAGTTCTGGGATACATGTGCTGAACATGCAAGTTTGTTACATAGGTATACGTGTGCCATGGTATACATATACACACGTATACATGCGCACCTATCAACCCCTCATCTAGGTCTTAAGCTCCACATGCATTAGGTATTTGTCCTAATGCTCTCCATCCCCTTTCCCCCCACCCCCCGATAGGCCCTGGTGTGTGATGTTCCCCTCCGTGTGTCCATGTGTTCTCATTGTTCAGCTCCCACTTATGAGTGAGAACATATGGTGTTTGCTTTTCTGTTCCTGTAGGATACACATTCTTTTCAAGTGCTCATAAAACATTTACCAAATTCATCATATGGCAGGCTGTAAATAATTTTCTCTATGACTTAAGTCATATAGAATATGATTTCAATTATACACAATAGAATTACATTGGAAATACGTGATAACAAGTTATGAGAAAGTCCCAATGTTTGGAAATTAAGCATATATTTTTATATATTTGACAAGTGAAAGAAAAAAATCACATTAAAATTGATTAAATACTTTGAATTAAACTATGTTGGAACAACATATCAAAACTTGTGTGATGTAGCTAAGCATTTCTATAGAGAATTTATAAAATTTTTATCTTTAAATGCATATAGTAGAAACATAAAAAGAATTATAAGCAATATTATAAGCATGCATTTCAATAAGTGGGAAATAGAATAGCAAGAATGTATTCAATAGATGACAAGAAATAACAAAAAGCAGATATCAATGATATAGAAAACCAATATAGAAAACCAATGAAACCTAAAGTTGGTTCTTTGAAAAGATGAAAAAAAGAAAAAAGATAAATCTCTGGCAAGAAAAATGTGAGAAAAGAAACATCACCACTATCTGAAATGAAAAATAAGATATCATTATGGACCTTACAGACAATAAAAGGATAACAGGTCATTATGAACAACTTAAGCCAAATAAACTTGACTATTTCATATAACAGACAAATCACAACTTAATCTGACACAAGAGAAATAACAAATGTAAATGTAGACATGGTCTGCTAATTAAATGCTTTTTCTACTACACTAATTTTAAGAAAATAGTGTAATACTAAAAGCCTTATAAACACTTAAAATTACACATTTAGTATTACAGTATTTTCTTCTAAAAAATATAGTCTAATGAAAATTGTAGTGTTGTTTCAAGTACTTGAAAGAAAATGCATTTGCCCTCATTAACCAGAAATAGACATTAATTGTAACTAGCCATTGCACATTTTTCATATTTATGTCCTCTATTAATATTTTAATCTAGACCGTCTTAAAAGTTACCAAAGTATTTATTTTTAAATATTCTCCATATTGATTTCGAAAATAGCTATTTCATTTATCAAATAAAATTTATAAAAATTCACCATGAAAATATGTTACACATAAAAACTATTTCTCATTTAAGAACTGTATAAGCAGAAATTTGTTGCATTAATTAATTTTGGAAATGTCTTTACCATTTTTTAAAATAAAAGTAGGTTATAGTAATCATTACAAAACCAATTAAATTAAATGTGCTGTACTTAAGTTATGTAACAAAGTACAAGTGGTGTTTCCTCACTGGACTCTAAATGGTGAGTGTTTACTCGAGCAAATCAACAAATGGTATCTGGATACTGGCACAGGTCACACTGCTACAGGCTCACTACTCAGCACACCCTCTACAGCCCAAAACAGCTGGCATTGGGCTACCATCTCAGGTGGCTAAAGACAGTTTTCCTTAGCACAAGTGAAAGCAAATATAAGGGTATCTTGCCAAAGGATCCAGCTGTTAGAAGCATGCTTCTCCTTTACTGCATAAGCAATTTTGTATTTAAAAATGCCAGATTTTATCTATAGACTTGCTATCTGATTAAATATGGTTGTGAAACCACTAAAAGGGGATAACGAGATAACTCTTTAACATGCTAAAAGTGCAAGTAATTTTAATACAATCACTGTCATCACTGATTAAAATCTTAGGTAAGTACAAAATCTGCTTTTTGCTATTATGGCAAAGGCCCATTTCTTTTGGCCTGAGAAAGGGGGTCTATCATTGTAATGACTTACATTTAAAAATCACTATTCTCTTCTGAGGCAGAGGGCACACATAGACATTGTTGTGATGTGATTCATTGTTTCCTATTTTTGTTTCTTTGTTTACTGGAAAGGGAGGTAAAGAGTTTTAAAATCAGTGCAGATGCTGGTATGGAACAGAAAGTTTGGATGAAATAGCAGGTAACTAATGTGGAGATGGTAGAGACAAACTGATTATAGCAAGTTATTAAGTTATTACCCATTAAAAGCATCATCCAGCACTTTTAAAAATAGACACAGCCAGACTTTACAATAGGAAACAAAAGTACCATGGCTATTCTATTGATTCTACATGTCAATTGACACTGTAGCATTAGAGGAATATATAAAAAATTCCATCCATGAACTCTGCACTTTTAAATATGGTAAGACTTATAAATAAGTATACCTTTTCACTTTTCTTTTTTAAAAATATATTTTTGGCCACGTGCAATGGCTCATGCCTCTAATCCCAACATTTTGGGAGGCTGATGTGGGAGGATCACTTGAGGCCATAAGTTCAAGACCAGCCTGGGCAACATTGCAAGAATGTCACTCCCATAGTAAGGGTATGTTCTATGGCAAAGGTGATGAGTATTACTCTCATGATTATGTTACTATACATGCAATAGTACCCACTTTGCTAACCAGACTCCCATACGGGCTATGAATAAATAAGCTGTCATGTTGTAACTTCTTACATGACTGTGTGGCAAAGACCTTTGGGAGGCTTCTAGATGCAAAGAGCTTCTTCTTGGCCAACAGGGAGCAAACAGGGGCCTCAGTTCTATACCCACAAGAAAATAAATCCTGCCAAAACTGAATGAATTGATAGTGAATCTTTCCCCAGTCAGGCCTCTGATAAGACCACACCCCAGCTGACACCTGGATAGCAGCTGGGTGAAAAACTGAACCAAAGAGCCTGTTACGCTTTCCCCAGACTTAGGACCTACAGAAACTCTGAGATTAATAGGTATTTCTTAAGCTGCTAAGTTAGTGATAATTTATGACGCAGCAGTAGAAAGCAAATAGAAATAGCAACTGTATTAAGTTTATATATCAGTTTTAGGAAAACTGACATTTTCTAATATTGTCTTTTCATGTAAAATGTGGTATGTATTTCTATTTGTTTTGATTCTATTTTATATCCTTCAGGAAGGATAAACATGTCCTTATGCTTTTGTATGATTTATATGTTATGTTTTCCTTCATTGAGGCTTTCATATTTTTGTTAAATTTGCTTTCAATTATATTATGAGTGTTATCACATTTGGCAAAAATATTTTCACAATTTTATTTCTAGGTGAATTAGTAATAATATTCCACAATTACTAAATACTATTACTATTACTGGTGAATTAATAGACAGAAGTTGATTTGTGTGCTTATCTTGCATCAGACATCAGATCAAATTCTTTTACTAATCTAGTAGATTTTCAATAATACTGCCTAGGTCTTTGAAGATATAACCAGTATATCATTAAAGAGTGATAATTATATTTGTCATTTTTATAATACATCTTTTCTTCTTCTATTTGATCCTTCTCTAATTCACCTGGGTTTCTGTCTAGTTTTTTGGCAAAGGTCTTACACTCTTACCACCTCTGAGCTCACTTGTCCTTTCAGGTCCTTCTGTATCATTTCATTTTAGCAGGGAGAATGGTTTGTTTTCCTAGACAGGCTTTGTATCTCCAGTATCCTTCTAGGTGAGAAACCTAATGTTAGAAGCCTTTCTTTCAAGTGTGTACAAACTCTGTGATGCTTCTGGAATCAAAGCTATATTCGAGATTGATATTTTCTTTCCACTGTATCTTCTATAGAATGTGAAAATGGTGAATAGAACACATTAAATATGTGAAATAAACATATCGGTGAAGAAAATGAATCTGGAACCAAAGAGGATTTTAATTAAGAGCCCCAAACAGGCTGGGTGGGGTGGCTCGTGCCTGTAATCTCAGCTACTCAGAAGGCTGAGGTGGGAGGATCACTTGCGCCCGAGAGTTTGAGGCTGTAGTGAGCTATGATCGCACCACTGCACTCCAGCATGGGCAACGGCGCAGGAAAACAAACAAACAAAATGGAAAAATGCACAAGAATGAAAAACACTAATATATGAAAAATGAAATGTACTGAAACAGCCATCCATTTGCTCCTAATGTCAAAAGACAAAATTACAACAAACATAGCTTAAAGATCTTCATTGGTTTTATTTGCCATTCTAGAATTGAGCAACATCTTCTTATATAAGTAGAATGAATGTTCCAAGGAGCTGAGCAGAGGATGTTGGCTTTACAGGCAGAAAAGTGCTGAAGAAAGCAGGAACAGAAAACAAAAAGCAGATTAGTTATTTCAAAGTTACTATTCTTGTAGGGCATCGTGGCTCACGCTTGTAATCCTAGCACTTTGGGAGCCTGAGGTGGGCGGATCACCTGAGCTCAGGAGTTTGAGACCAGCATGGCCAACATGGCAAAACCCCATCTCTACTAAAAATACAAAAAATTAGCCAGGTGTGGCGGTGCATGCCTGTAAACCTAGCTACTTGGGAGGCTGAGGCATGAGATTCAGTTGAACCTGGGAGGCGGAGGTTGCAGTGAGCCAAGATCACACCTCTACACTCTGGCCTGGGCAACAGAGCAAGACCCTGTCTCAAAAAACAGAGACAAAGTTACTATTCTTGTAAAGGCTAAAGCAGAGGGGACTTTCTTACCACTCAGGCTAAAACTGACCTGTTTGGGGATATGACTATCATCTCTGTTTCTGCTGATTTCTGGAAAGGTCAGATAAACAAATTAGTTTTGGCTTGGTGAGGTGGAACTTCAGCCTGAGTGGGTCCGTTTGGTTTGACCTGTTGGACCTAGTTCAGGAGCTCAGTCCAAACCAATGGCCTCCTGTGAATTTTATTTAACACTAGGCAACTGTATGGTGTTAGAATGAGGGCTAAAGTTAGGCTTAGCATTTCAGTCTTTTGGGCTTCAGTCTCCTCAGTATTAAATGAGCATAACAGCGTTATATGAAGTACTCACAGGGTTATGAGGGACACTCAAGCCTGGAAACTGAAATACAAACTTGGGTGGGGTGCACTTTCCTTTATCTATGCCAGGTGACTTTTCAAAATGAAAATCAACTTTGGCAAAATTTCCAAGAGTTGAGATAAGTATATTCTTTCTATTTGAAATGATTTAGAAAATTGTTCACATTCTTGTTTTGAGACTTGAAGAAAAGTCATATCAGACCACGTTTTCTCATCTTTCCATCCATACACTCAACAGTTATGATCAAACAATGCATCATAAATTGAGTATTTAAATATTCATTTTATTTTCTTTCTTTTTCTCCTTGCATTTTTTAAAACATTTTAATCTGTTTTGGAGAGACTAGGTGGGGCAGTACTTTTATGAAAGTAGTAATTTAAATGGCAATACAATAGATGAATCTTATATAAAAAGCTGGATAATTTTCTGGGAAATAATAATATTTGTAAGAGAAACTGGAGATAAATGGAGGCTTGGGTCTTTTTAAAAATAAACTTACAAACTTACTAAATCAGAGACTCACCTTACGTATCTGCAATTTTATAAACATTGGTTTCTCATAATAGTTCTTAAGTATTTTAAATATTGTCCTTAAACGTTACTATGAGTAGACAAAATAACAATAAAAATAATATTTCAGCTAAGAGCTCAAAAGTATGATAAGTAAAAGTAATGTCTTATGTACATAAGTGTTGCTTTCCGCATTTGCCACCTAAAGGGAAATTTGTTAATGCTTTTCTATGAATTAATTTTACTGTCCTTGGATTCTTTTGCTAAATTTATAAACAATTTTTTGTCACATAGAAGATAGACAAGCTTCCTAGAGAGTAGAAATAATTCAAGTGAATGACAGCAGGTGAAGAAAGGAAAAAAATATGTCTAGAAATGACATAAATTGCCAAGGGCAAATCTAGAGTATTCAATCTATGCATGGTTCAGAAACCATTATTTTCTAGGTGAATGTGTAGTCTTCTAGATGTTAGGTGGTGATTCACTCTCCACATTTCACTGGGCATTGATGCACCTCTGTGCCACCTGAACTCTGATATCTTTCATTACAGGGCAAAGAGGAAGGAAGTAAAGTGATTAATATTTATGAACTCCAACGCAAAGTTGGAAAGCTAAGGAATAGTGCTACTCATTGATCTGTAATATTTCCCAAGGTAAACCATAGAATAAAATGAATTTCTTTAAGCATGAAACCAGATGTCTGCTCAAAATAGATCTCTCACTGCATTGGGATACCTTGTCACAAAGAGAGATTCATAGGAACTAAATGTTTGCTGCATCAATTCTTCTTGCAGAAAACCTTAATTGATTATGGTTTACCTAAATATTTAAATAAGTATTTAAAGAATAAGTAAATTTTCTTAATAAAAATACGGTTTTAATTTTTATAAATTATATTTATAACATCTTTCTACTTTAAAATTCTATGACACATTTATACTACACAAACATTATTTAATGATATATAAGGAATGGTCTTTATAAAGAATTATTATAAATGTGGCCAGGCATGGTGGCTCACGCCTGTAATCCAACACTTTGGGAGGCCGAGCGGGGTGGATCATCTGAGGTCAGGAGTTTGAGACAAGCCTGGCGAACATGGCAAAACCACATCTCTACTAAAAATACAAAAGTTAGCTGGGCATGATGGTGCACGCCTATAATCCCAGCTACTCAGGAGGCTGAAGCAGGAGAATTGCTTGAACCCAGGAGGCAGAGGTTGCAGTAAGCCAAGATCATGCCACTGCACTCTCTAGCCTGGGCAACAGAGCGAGACTCCATCTCAAAAAAAAAAAAAAAGTGTGATTAATTTCATCTATAATTGAATATTGTCTTTCAGTAAGATAAACCTGTTTTCTTTTTTTTTTTTTAAGTTTGGACTTTGAATATCTTATGTCTTAATACAGACTGCAAACCTCAGAAAAATCATGGGGATGATTTGTTAAATTAATATCTTCTAGAATATCTTTTTCATGTGCTGAAATGAAAGCAAAACAATTTGAAGTAAAACTAATACTCGAAAGCAATTCTTGTCAAAAATATTTTTTAATTGCATTACATGGAAATAGAATTATTTCTGAATAGCAGCAAATGAGAAAACCAATTAAAACTAGAAATCCAAAGACAAAAATGACTTGAAGAAAAATACCCGTTTGTGTGTTATGGTTTTTTTAAGATGACTAGAGAGAAAACAGCTGTTAAGAAACACAAAATGCTAATTATCATGGTTAGTTAAGAGAAATGATTATCAGCAAAAGCAAAAAAGGGAGGGGAGGCATTATAGTAATGGAAATCAAATCACATAATGTTGCCATTCAACTGAATCCATTTTATCTTGTTCAGAGCAACCCAAGAGGTAAACAGGAAAAAAGAAAATAAAGAGCTTGCAAACATACAGAATTAGACAACAAAACAGTGGGAGCTCAAGCTGCTGGCTTGAACAAAGGTAACATGCAAGGGAGAGCAAGGAAATGACTGCTGTGAATAAAAACCTCTGCCCTATTCTGTTTTGTGGATACTCTTAGGTTTGGGGAGGATTAAGACACTACTTCGGGAAAGACATTAAAAAGATATGAGAACAAGCCATTCAACACATATTCCTTGGATCAATTATTATCTCTGTGGATGTGGAGTTAATAGCCAGGGGCATCATTTTAATTGGAATTTTAGGCCCAAGGGCAAGCATGGATCTCTTTAAATTTTGAAATAATAGCTGTAGCCCAGCAAAAGTTGAAGAGGTCAACTAGATTCCATTTATTAATAGAAAGAAGAAAGTCATATTCAGAATGTTACTACCCACATAGTACATTGATTCATTTGGGGACCTTAATTCTCTAGAAAAAAAAAAAAAGTTCCCTATCGCAGTCTCTTCCACAGTTTTAAAGACTTGAGAGGCTTTTATCCAAAATGCACTAATATAAATAAAGTAACAATATTAAACATCTCTATGTTGACACCTAAATATCCAAACACATCAGCACCTCCTATTTCCAAAAACTTAAAAGGACAATTCTAGCCCTCCTGCAAATAAGTGAGTCCAGGAATGTGCAGAACTTACGTAATTTAAAAAAAAAAAGTTTCTTTTATGTCTAAACTAAATCATATATATTGCATTTTAATTCAATAAATATATTGAATTCCCATTCTGAGTCAAGCATTGAACTAGTAGTTCTATGGAATACAAAGATTGGCAATACATGACTCTTAATTTCAAGGATCTCATCATACCTAGGATGTGTGGAAGAAACAGCAGCTGCCATTCATCCAGCACCTATGTGAGCTAGGTTCCAGTCGTCACCTGTATCATCATCCCAAAACTGAAGACGAAGTCATGGAGGAACATAAAGTTGAACTTTTGCAAGGCCATGCAGTTAACTGAAAAGTTGTTTCCACTATAAATCTTTCTACTATGTCCCACTTTACACAAGAGTCTGCCATTTGCTTGGGTACTAAGTTACTTCTCAGTCTTCTTCCTTCACACACAGGGGCCTGTTGTGGGGTGGGAGGAGGGGGGAGGGATAGCATTAGGAGATATACCTAATGTTAAATGACGAGTTAATGGGTGCAGCCCACCATCATGGCACATGTATACATATGTAACAAACCTGCACGTCGTGCACATGTACCCTAAAACTTAAAGTATAATTTAAAAAAAAAAGAAAACTCCTAGCTCCTTTACCATTCTCACCTAATTATTATGTCTGCAGCTTCTCGTTCATTCCTTCAACAGTAACTCAGTGACTGTATGATTGAGTTGTAATAGTGAGTGGTACTGAATACCTGAGAGTTCCCAGTCATTCCTTCTAGCATCCCACACTTTACAGCAAGACAGAGAAAAACTTCCTGAGTCCTAGGAAAATTGAAGCCTACTTTTAAACCTGATACATTCCACACATGTTCTTAGCAGCTCAAGTCTTCTGGAAAGTATTCAGGGCCAAGGGGCTGAGATATCAGGAGCCAATATGTAAAGACACTGGATTCATTACTGGAAAACATAACATTTTATTCAAAGAATTGTTGTTGCCGCTGGTATTGACATCGTCGATGCGGCCTTAGGCACTGACAATGACAAATGGTCTATACTGTTAGCTCAGGCTATAAAGTCAACAGGAAAACTCTGAACATTCGTCAAAACTTTGACTTAACTGAAGCACTTTAATATTCTCACCAGGCATTGTCTGACATACACCACAGCATGAATTACCCTCTGGCTTTGCCTAAAATTTTATTTTCTTCCCAGCTCCTCAGATTCATTTGACATGTAGGTCACAACACTGAGATAAAATTAGTCTTGACGTTCTTGAGGAAGCCTATTGGTGAGAATTTTACTTCATTCCTTAATTATCCATGAATAATGGGGAAAAGAAAATTAGCAAGACAGTGTATTATAAAAT
Source organism: Homo sapiens (assembly GCF_000001405.40). Lineage (NCBI taxonomy): Eukaryota > Metazoa > Chordata > Mammalia > Primates > Hominidae > Homo > Homo sapiens. Next base: position 238,197,581 of record NC_000001.11, on the reverse strand, counting down.
CTACAAACAACGGATTCCTTTCACTCATTCTAACAACTACAAATAATTTTTTAAATAATTTTCAAAATATGTCAAATGTTATCAGCAAAGATTGAACTCAGAAAGGCTTATTTAACTGCCTACCTTAGCACTTAGCACTGTGCCTGGCACTTAATAAGTTTCTGTTGAACAGATGAACCTCCCAGACTACTAATCTTTATTGTTCTATAGAAGGATATTTTTATTTTATTTTACCTTTTCAACACATTTGCAGTGAAACAACACACGTTCAGAAAATGTATAAAATTGTTTATTCTTCATGATAATCCTAAAATACTATAAATCCTGCAATGTGTTCTAATTTTTCAAATACATACTATATTCAAAATAATTTTAGTTTTGAGTGCATTTAATCCTATTCTACTATTATAGGTCTACTGACCTATAAACCTCAAACAAGTATGGTCACTCACTTAGCCAGAAGGATGAGTATCCCTGAGCTCTTGTTGCAGGTGTATTAATTACCGCACACTTGGTGGCTTTAAGCAGCAGAAATTTATTCTCTCACAGTTCTGCAAGCTCAATGGCCACATCAAGGTGTTAGCAGGGCCATGCTCCATCTGAGACTCTGAAAAACAAACTGTTCCATACCACTCTCTCAGCTTCTAGCGGTTGCTTCAGTCTTTCCTCTTCCTTGGATGCATCACTCCAACCTCTGCCGCCATCTTCACATGGTGTTCCTCTCTCTGTGTCTTTGTTCTGTCTCCAAATCCCCTCTCCTTATAAGGACACCAGTTATTGGACTTAGGGCCACCTTTAGTCCAGTAGCACCTCATCATAATCTGATTACATCTGCAAAGGCCTTGTATTCAAGAAGGTCACATTCCCAAGTTCTGAGTGGACATGCATTTTTGTGACACTATTCAAGAAATTCACAAAGAAGTTTAGCACTTTTGGATTGGTATCAAAATTCTAACATCAGCAAATGAATTGTTTTCTTTATTAGTATGACTGTGTTCATTAACACAGATAATATATTGAGTTGAAGAAACTAGATAGATCATCTTGGTCTACAGAATAGTCAATGATAGTCTTCAATGACAGCTCAACTTTATCAAAGGAATGTGTGTGGAGGGTTGATCTAGTATCAGCAGCCAGGTTTTATTCCCTCAAATGCAATCACTCAATGACAATTCTGCTACGTGAATAGCTCCAAGTAATAAATATTCCTTCCCAGTGATTGCAGACAGGCACATGTATAGCTAGCCATTTTCTTCTGTAATTATTTGATATACCCTTTTCTGAATGGTACCCAGTTGTCCCTTCCCAGCTTTTCCTCCTATTTCTCATCCCATCATGTTGCTTCTAAGCCCCATCTCAGTCCTTCTAAAGAATGAGACATATCATGGGTAAAGCCATTTAAGTTTGTAGGAAGAAAACCATCTTGGCATATGTCCTTTGTTTTCCTACTCATTACTTTCTTACACTTGCTATTCCCTATACCTGGGGTGCGTTTTCTTGAAATATTTAAATGACCGTCTTCTGACTTCTTTCTGTTCTCTACTTCAATCTGAGTTCCTCACAGAGGCCTCCCTTGACCACCCTATCTAAAGTAGCTACCCGTCTCCATCACATTTTATTCCTTTACCCTGTTTCCTTCCTTCATATCACTTATTCCAACTGAAAAAAATAAATAATATTTATAATCTAAATAAAATATAATTTATAGGTTTAATTATTTACTGTCTGTATACCCCACTACCCTATAAGTTCTTAAAGTTTCTGACTTTTGTGTATTCAATGCACTGTTGTATTCCTTGCACTGACAAATACAGTAGTAGCCTGACCAATAGCAGATGCTTAATAAATATGTGTTGTATGATTAAATACATTAATGATTTGTAGTACTTTATGTCTCTGACAAATTCCTATCTGTACTGACCATTGGCCTGAAAAGTCAACATGAACAAATATGTAACTCACCACGATATTTCCTCCCTGAAATGTATCTAATTCTTGTAGAATACCAGGGATAGATACACAAATAGGAGGAGCTGCCTTCTTTATGATGAGTTCAACAGCCCATGCAAATATGTAATCAGTGATATATAAATTAGCCAATCATTCATTGGGGATTTCACTGTCTACTAACAAGTTACTTTTTTTCATTTTAGCATACAATTCGAACAAAGGGCTACATTTTACTAATAGTAGTCAGTTGAAATAACTTACGACAATGATTCTAATCCTTTTTTTTACTGCTATCACATGAATACGCATTATGTATGTTTTACTCTTATTAAATTTTTTCCACAACATTTAGCTAAGCATGCATTTTAGAGCATCAATTTGTCACACTTTTCTGCCCTCCCTGAGTTTGGAGCCAAATGAGAAAAGACACAGGAGACAAATAAATGGAGACCAAAATGTCAACCTGTTTCTCATCACCTGATTAGTGTGGCTTTAGATCTATAGTAAAAACGACTTTCTAACACCTCATCCCAAAATACAGATGGTACTTCCTGTCATATAATTCCTGGGCAAAGGAATTTCTCATCCCCTTCCCTCCTAATCTTACTTCATGGGAAAAACAGATGTATCAATTTTCCCATTGTCTCATTAATGCTGTATAACAAATAACTACAAAATCACAGTGTCCTGCACAATAAATATTTATCTGTGCTCTCAAGTCTATGACTTGGCCTAGAGGTTCCACTGATCTTGGTGGGACTCACTTGTACAATCAGAGTTAGCTGGCAGGTCAGCTGGGTGGGGTCTGGCCGGCTTAGGATGCCATCAGTAGGGACAACTCTTTCTGCTGCAAGTAGTTTCTCTCTCTCCAGCAGATTAGTCTGGGCTTGTTCTTATGGCACAGTAGGGTTCAAAGAGAGCCAGGAAAGCACAAACATACTGTCATTTCTCCTGCCTCCTGCTAACCTAAGCAAGTCACAAAACCAGTCTATATCCAAGGCGTGCAAAAATAGACTGCACATCTTGAAGGAAGGAACTGAAAATAACATTGCAAGGGCATCAAAACAGGGCAAGTAGGGGCTTGGGCCAATTTGCAATCAATACACCACAGTCAGATTGCACCCTCTTTACAGGCAGGCAGATCCAACAAAAGATGGAGAAAAGGGCAGAGCTGATCCTGCTGATTTCTTCCTCAAATGAGGAGGAAATGAGGAAAAGAAAGAGGAAAGATTAACCATCCACAGGATACCCAATGCCAGGAGAAAGGATAACCTCTAAATGTAGATTCATTTATCTACGCAACATCACCAATTCAGCCAACTCAATCCAACATAAAACGAAATAAATGAGTAAAAGCAAAATCAGTATTTAGTGAAGTAAAAAACAACATTGCTGACTAATTAAATCTTTCACACTCTCATGAATTGCTTTGCTGACTTTTTGTCAGGTAAACACAGTATGTTTGTTTTTTTTCTTTTTTTCTCATGAAGATACTATGTATTTGGCTTTTCCAAGAAACTCAAACAACTTCACTTGAAAGATTTCAGTTTGTGTTTTAATTAATTCAAGTCATAAAATGGAATATTAGACATATAGAAATGGCATGGTTTCTTCTTCGAAATTCTTAAAGTCTGTGGTTACTGAATCAGAACATTAAGTTTAGAATATACGCCAAGTAAACGAGTGACTTCTCCTGCCATGTTACATGTAACAATTTTGACTTGATGGAATCATTTGGAGGAATCTATTTTTGATGGATTTGCTCAAAAAAAGCCAGTCTTTAATTAGGTATTGTTATCACTATCACCAATCACAAAAGTAATGTTTGAGGATATTTTAACAGACTACTACCACAATCAAACCTGGTCAAGTCCTTTAGCCAGAAAAATAAATCTTGTTTTATTTTACAATAAAAAATATTAGCAAATTTATTAACATATACAATATATAATACAAAGTACTTTATTTTATATTGGTTTTCAATGTAACTACAGTTTGCCATGTTACAAAGTTTTCTTATTGTTTTTCATATTTACTTTTGCAAAGCCTTATAACTTAATAGAATTAGATCATTTAGAACTATAGTCTCCAAAGTTTCTGATCTTATAGCTCTAATGTAAAAAAGAATAAAATGCCTTTTTATATGTAAGTATTTGCATGCTACAGGTATATAATATATTATGTATCTAAAAAATTATGTATAAAATGGAAATTAAGAAATATGAACTAAAATATACTTGAGTAGAAGTCTCAACACTTTCATTCCACACACCCCGATGAATTCTACTCCCACCAAATGAACAAAGCATTGTAGGGAAGCAGAAAGGAGACTAGAGGAAGCAGTTGTTCAAAAAGTCATTCAAGTATTTAAACTTCTGAAGTTCAACCCTTATGCTACCTTTTAAAAAAAATGTACAGATATCAAAACGTAATAGAAAAAAATGTCCCCATCAAATCTCTACCTTCAATCCTTCTATATGATAAACTTTGAGGAAGAGGTCTTCAGGCAGCTACTGCTATTATCTGCTCAGACACTTTTCCAACACATTCACTTCCTATAACAGATCTTAGCACTCTGATCATAGCAGTGAGTACCTGAGATTCTCCTGGAGCTGAACATGACTGATGACATACAGGAGCAAGAGGTAGTTAAAACTTCCCAACTGATGGCTGCACCTTAGAAGTTCCATGAACTTTCTCTATCTGGATATTCAGAACTGTGCTGGGTACTGTCTTCATAAAGCAGGATTGCCCACTCTTTCCTTCTATTTCTGAGCTATCTCAGTAACTTTCCGGGAAACTCCTCTTCTTTCTCAGGTTACTCAGTGGTGGATTTTATTGTTTCAACCAAAGAAGTGTAACTGCTGATCCTTTAAGACAGTTTTGAGGAATTCAAACTCTCATTCATTCAGCCAGTCAGTCTTTCTTTTAACAAATCTTTTTTGAGTATCTATTATGCATTAGGTGCCAGGCCATAGGATAAAAAGATGAGTAAGACATGTTTGCTGTACTTCAAAAGAACAACTTTAAAGTTGGGGAAAAACAGTTACATAGATAATTGTATTGGAGTTCTCTGATTGTGGTAAGTACAAGATGCTACAGGACTGAGGAGCAGAGTTACAGAACTCAACTGTGAAAAGACAGAGGCTGCCTTTTGAAAAAGTTGGTACAAAGGCCAAGCACTAAACTATACGTCTTTGTGAATGTGACTTCTGGTTGGGGCATTCTGAGCACAGAGAAACCATCAAAGCAAATGTCCAATAAGGAAAAGGCAATATAGTGTATGGGAAACTACCATAGTTTGGTGTTGAGTATGGATTATGGCACTGGGGATGAAGATAGATACTAAAGAGTTAAGACATTGTTCTGTATATAATTTTTAAAAAATACTTCTTATCAAATTAGACTGTTTGGCTCTTCTGCAATAAATCTGTTATATGATCTGCAAATTCTTACACTATTTTTGCAATTCAATCAGAATTGAATGATTTGCTTATAATAAGTGATAAGTCACAAAGAGAGAGACCAATAGCAATTTTTTAAGAGACAAGGTCTTGGTATGTTGCCCAAGCTGGCCTCAGACTCCTGGGCTTGAATGATCCTCCCACCTTAGCCTCCCTAGTAGCTGGAACTATTGATGCACACCACCATGCCTAGCTCACTACTATCAGTTGCTAATTTTCTTAAAGCAAAATCAGAAATGAACGTTTATTTTATGATTAAGGATCTTTTGACCTATGTTCAATGTCTTAGTTTATTTCTGCTGCTGTAACAAAATACCTGAGACTGGGTAATTTATAAACAAGAAAACCTTATTTTTCACAGTTCTGGAGCCTGGAGGTTCACAATCAAGTCACCAGCAGGTTAGGTATCTGGTGAGGGCATGATCTCTGCTTCCAAGATGGGGCCTTGTTGCTGCATCCTCGGGAAGGAGCAAACTCTGTGTCCTCACATGTAGAAGGGACAGAAGGGAATGAACTTTATCCCTGAAGCCATTTCATAAATAGCCTAGTCTTATCCATCCTCATGACTTAGTCATTTCCTAAAGACCCCACCTCCTGGTACTATCACATTGTCAGTTAAGTTTTAACATATGAATTTTGGGGGGCACATGCAGACCACAGCACTCAATCAACACAAGGATGTATCAAGCCACTGAAAAATAGCAGTAAACACGGTGAGAGAAATATGCCTGGTAAGATTATGTAGAGTCATAAAATTAAACTCCATAGTAATAAGGTTCTGCTAACCACACATCTTTTTGTTACTATTGCTGGAATCTAGATTGTCTACTTCTGCTTTTAGTTTACCCTGTGGTGATGTGTCTTAAATATAATTTGAGAAGATTTTTCCTTTTGGCTTTTTATTCTTGTTGAACAGTACAGACTTCAGCATATGCCTTAAATTGATTATCTCAAATGTCACCCACTTCAGGTGTTATCCTGGCCAGCATTCTAACAACTGAGCATTCTGAAGGAAGCAATTGCAATATTTATTCCCTCTGGCAAGTGGCAGCAGATGCTTAGCATTTTAATGCTCATTTGCAACAGCCAATGTTTTGCTTTAACAAAGCAGTTGTCTTTTCAAAATTGAAAGCCCTTTGATAACAGAAGTTCTATTGTTGCACAGAAAAGAGAGATAAGACCACAAAAATTTAAATCAAGAATGTTGACCTCCCATAACCTTTTCATCTTGGGTCTTAGAGACAATTTCATCCAATGGCTTCTGCAGGTATCCTCAGAGATGAGATTAACTGTGTATAGGCCCCAGGTAATTATTTTTCCCCACACCTGCTTTCCCTCAGTCTGATGCAGACACCTGCACACATTTTTGGAAAATGAAATTAATTCAGAGAAAGGCGCATTTAAAGGTACTGTTTCCTAATAAACAAATTTCACCTTAGAGATGAAAAGATGTTTGATTTTCCTTTTTAGCTGCTTGATTCCTTATCCTCTAAAACGTGTGTAAATCCTTGACTTGGGGATTCCAATCTCTAAAGAGAACACCATCCACATGAAATCATGCCTGAAACAGTTTCTCTTCATTAAATGCTGCTGTTTTTCTTCTTTAATCGCTTGGCCCTTCCAAGTGTTTCTTCCTCTTATAATGGGTATACCAAAAAACACTTGGCTCCATGTTACTTCACAGATTTTCATAAGCAATAATTAGCTCTATTCTCCTTTGCGGCTCAGGGAAGCAAAAGTTAGTAGGAACAGCATCTGGAGCAGCTCTCCATACCCCCCAACCCAATACTGTCTGGGCTTAAGGATATCTCCACCAGGATGCTATTGGCTCTGACTCAGCAGTTATCAGCAAAGAACTGAACGCACATTTCATAAACAAGGATAAACGTCTACAGAACTGATGGTGAAGTGCTTCAGTTTCTCCAAAGCAGATTAACTTTAGCCATTAGGCACCTTCAGAGTGAACGGCACAACGAGATGAGGCTGGATACCAGAGGTTGCTGACGTGCCAGAGGGCTTCTCATTAAAAGAGCATTGCCTGTTTCTGAGGACATGGAAAGACCCAATGGATGGATAAGCACTAGAAGTGACACTATCATTCATGTGATTTCCATTTTGAATTATCAGTAGCATTCATTCATTACATAATTTTTGTGAATGCAAATTGTAATTGAGCTCTCTAGGGAAAAGAAGGCAATGTTGCAATGTCCACCCACTGTGACACCAAAAGAGCTATTTCCAGAACAGATTTCCTCAGTGTTTGTTGAAGAAGGAAAGGTCCCATTTTCTCCTCTTCATGATCTTGGTCTGTAGTTTCATTTTCCCCCACTAATATTCTCAATCTAATAGTTACACCCAAATATTTTTTCTATTTTCTAAAAAGAATCTTTTGGTTAAAACTCTGGGGAAAAAAGAATAAATACAGTCTATGTCCTCAAAGAGCTCAGAGTCTAATGGGAGACAGGTTGGCACAATGTGGATGGAGAACCGAGGGACTGAAGCTTATAAGGTGAACTTTCTGAACTTGGTACTTTTTATGAGTGTGAACTTGGTACTTTTTATGAGTGTATGTTTTCATTATACAATACATTATATCCTTCCTAAGAACAGAACCATAGCTATGATCTCTTTACGTTGCCCACATCAGTTGGTACGGCTATTTGTATTTAATGAGTAATCAATATTCGATTTTGAAAAACAGTGGTGCTGAATGTTGTCTCTAAGAATTATTTTAATGTTTCCTGTGCCAAGGCAAAGATTAAATAGATTAAAGCAAATTCATTTCCGCTGCAAACAAATCAGTGAATATTAAAGTGTCTTAGAGTCACAAGGGATGATTTCATTGTTAGTGCTATATACCTTTGACAGATGCTCAGATAACAAACATTAATTTCTTCAATATTTTAAAAGTCCTTAGATTATATTATATATATTATTATATTATATGGATTATTATATCTGATAAACATGTGCTTGCCTTGTAAAGATGCTGGAGATTGGAGTAGTCAGGAACTACTGACAGGAAGCTCTTGACAAAATTATCTGAGGAGCCCAGAACAGGGATTAGGGATTGTTGTAAGAGGCAGAGCCATGCCTCTTTTCAAACAGAGCATCCATGAGCACCAACAAAGTTGAGTGATATGGATGACACCCAGCTATTCCGAAACAAGAGAGATGCCCCAAAAGGAGATTCAAGAAGTATGGTTAGGATGGTCAACCTCTCTGACCGTCACAAGCAAGAATTCAGATTAGACTTACTGATTTGCACATGTGAAAAAAAGCTGCACTCCCTTTCTCGGGTAGTAGCCTAATAAAGTGAAAAAGGAAACACTGAGGCCAGGCATGGTGGCTCATGCTTGTAATCCTAGCACTTTTGGAGGCCGAGGTGGGCAAATCACTTGAGCCCAGGAGTCCAAGACCTGCCTGGGCAAGATGGCAAAACTCTGTCACTAAAGAAAAGAAAAAAACAAAACAAGAATTAGGCAGACGTGGTGGCACATGCCTGTGATCCCAGCTACTCGGGAGGCTGAGGTGGGATGATAGCTTGAGCATGGGAGACAGAGGTGGCAGAGATCCCTGATCACACCACTGCACTCCAGCCTGGGTGACACAGCGAGACCCTGTCTCAAAAAGAAAGGAAAGAAAAGAAAAGAAAGGGGAGAGAGAGAGAGAGAGAGAGAGAGAGAGAGAGGGAGAGAGAGAGAGAGACAGAGAGAGAGAGAGAAGAAGAAGAAGAAGAAGAAGAAGAAGAAGAAGAAGAAGAAGAAGAAGAAGAAGAAGAAGAAGAAGAAGAAGAAGAAGGAGGAGGAGGAGAAGAAAAGAAAAGAAAAGAAAAGAAAAGAAAAGAAAAGAAAAGAAAAGAAAAAAGACAAGACAAGACAGGACGGATGTTGAGCTTTCTGCCTTACCTAAGGAGGGAGAGGCCTGTGGTCAGTATAGACACAGACAACCTCACCACTCCAACTGTGAGAATAAAACTTGAAGTTCATTTGCTCCTCTGTGCAAGACAGAGAAAAATCATTAACAATTCAAATAGGGATTTGGTTTGAATGCCTGGGAATTAGCTCAACGACAGAAAAATAAGGGAAGCAGCAGAGTAAGACAAGGAGGTCAAGAGGGGCAGGAATGTGAGACTTTGCAGCCCATGGCAGAGATGAGAAGTTGCCAGAAAACTCGAAGAGCACCTCCTACGACTTGCAGAGGCACAGATGGAAGTCAAGCTGATGATCATCCTTAGTCCTCCTGCTCACCTGCAGGGGTCAGACTCTAGGATGCCCTACTGTGGCCCCACCTCCTGGTATCCATACCCTTATATCTCCTGTCCTTGAGTTTGGGCAGGACCTGCGACTTGCTTGTGACCAACAGAATATTGCAAAAGTGATAGACGTCACTTCCATGATGAGGTTACATGAGATTGTTATTTCTGCCTTACTGTCACACTCTGTTGCCTTCTTGACTTCCATATTTTAATAAAGCAAGCATTCATGTTGAAAGCTACATGGTAGGAAATTGTTAGTGACAACAGCAAAGAACTGAAGGCCTCAAGGAAACCATTTGAAAGCAACTGATTCCTGCGAACAACCAGGTGAGCTTGGAGGCAGTTCTTTTACTCGTTAACTCTTTAGATGATACAGCAGGTGTAGCTGACATCTTGATTTCAGCCTGTGACCCAAGAACAGGGGACCCAGCTAAGTCATGCCTGGACTCCTGAACCACAGAAACTGTGAGATAATAAATGTGTCTTGTTTTAAGCTTCTGGTTTTGGGTAATTCATTCCACAACAGTAGATCATTAGTAAACTCTCTGTGGCTTGGTGGGTTCCCACAGACTGGAATCTATGAGAGGCACCCATACTGGAAATGGTCAATCATCTGAACATGACCATTTCCAGGGGGAGGACTGACACTCAGGATATGGTGTGATAGTTAATTTTATCTGTCAACTTGACTGAGCCATAATGTCAACACAGATATTTGGTTAAGTATTATTTCTTGGCGTGCCTGTGCGAGTGCTTCCGGATGAGATTAGGATTTCAATTAGTAGACAGAGTAGAGCACATGCCCTCCCCAAAGTGGTGGGCCTCATCCAATCAGTTGAAGGCCTGAACAGAAAAACACTAGAGTTCAAAAGGATACTTTTTCTCTGCCTGATTGTCTTTGCACTGGGACATTTGTCTTCTCCAGCCTTTGGATTCAGACTCAACTGGAACTTATACTATCAGCTTTCCTGGTTGTCAGGCCTTTAGACTTGAACTGGAACTACAACTTCAACTTTCCTGGGTCTCTAGCTTGCTCATTTCAGATTTCATCCTTTTCCACCTCCAAAAATCACGAGTCAATTCCTTAAAACAATCTCTCTCTCCTCCCCGCCTCTGTTGTACAGATATCTACATGTACATATATGCACACACATATATATACATATATACACACAAATATATATGTGTGTGTATATATATCTGTACTATATACACACATTTATATATTATATGTATATGTATTATATATGTATAATATGTATGTATATATTATATATATGTCTTATATATGTATAATTGTGTATATATACATATATATGCATAATTGTGTGTATATATACATATATACACACACATACATATAAATATAAAGTAACGGTTTTAGATATTTACTTCAGATATTAGCCAGTGCCATGGCTTGGTTGGTTGAAGTGCCTGTCTAGTAGATATTTACTTCAGCTATCAGAGGAAACTTGCATTATTAAAAGCTAAGAAGCAACCAAAACTGCTAGTTTGACTAAAATGTCCTATGAATTAGATACCCTGAGACCTATGTATCCAGGGTCTTAAGAATACTTTACCAACATTAACTTTACTAAGCCTTATATCACCTCTGTTAGTATTATCACACCCCCGTTTGAAAGATGTAGAAAGAATCAGACTGGAAAGTGTAACAGGGAGTCCAAGGTCACAAGCTTCTGTGCCTGGAATATAAAACCTTTAAGGGCTGGGATTTGGGATGTCTTCTTTTTCCATATTGACAAGAACTAGTCATGCAAGGGACAGCTTAGGAAGACTATTATTTGTAAGTCCCCTCCCTCTCTTTTCCAAACCTTTTGCATAGCCAGTTTCATAAATGCTTATGAATTATACATCAGTAGAATCTCTGCATTCTGAATGCACTTACACTTCAAAGAGTTGTGCAATCTTGAATTCATTATTTTGCTTATTTTTCCTTTATTACTCCTCTTCATTTCTGCTAAACATTGTTCCTGCTATAGGCACATTATACCTTGCCAAAGCCCTAACAATTTAGAGTAGAAGAAAACGCTTCCCTCTTCTTATTCATATTTTATCCTCCAAATTTCAGAACATTATTCTGACTTCTGACTATGGCTGAGAAAAGAGGTCACAAATTTCTCCCCAATATCACCAAAAAAAAAAAACCAAAAAAAACTATAAAGCTGAAAAAAATTAACAAAATTAGCCATTCTGATGCTATGGAAATTGACCAACAATATATCGAAATCTGAAAAGAGCTTATGCTTGATGAATTGCTGAACTTTAGTTAAGAATAGCAAACGTCTGTGGTATTCTTTCCTGGAGCTGCTCTTATTCACCCCCAAGCTCAGTCAACAAGGAGGTTCTTCCAGAGCAAGTCATGCCATTAGGACCAGCAGCTTTGCTGACAGTGGTCAAAAAGGACACACTCAATTTAGAGTGGCATAAAATACCCATGCCTAGTGTTAGGGCAAGTGAAACTGATGACTTTGGCAGTGGGTAAGCAGGAAGGACGAATGATTCTACTATCCTGAGGTTTAAGTGATGGATGTGGCAAACCTGTCTTGGATGAAGCCACCAACACAGAGGAGATCAAAGAGGGAATAAACTATACACAAACTCCTGGCTTAAACTAAGCTACACACATGAACAGAGGAGACACAAAAGAGCCCAAGGGAAAGCAAAAGCTGGGCATACTTGAAAACACCTTGGGCTTTTAACGTGCTCTCTGCCCACGTTTAGATCTATTAACAGAGGACAGAAGCCATACTGGCTCGGGGTATTTGAACACAACAATTGTCGAATCATTAGGTGATAGCTAAGCTATGTAGACATAGGGCCAACCCCTAGGGAGTCAGGCTTAAAAATAAAAATAGGAATGTTTAAAAACTCTACAGTTCTATAACATAGGGGAAAACAGACCAATTTAGCCCAAATTAACAAACAAACAAAGAGCAACAGTAACAAATTTCAGTGAAATTAAAAAAAAAAATCAGAATCCAGAGCTGCTACAATGCATAATCAAAAATGTCCAGTTTTCAATAAAAATTATAAGACATACAAAGAAACAGGAAAGTGTGATCCATACTCAGGGCAAAAAAAAAAAGCAGCCAAATAAAATGGCCACTGAGTGTTCTCAAGTGTCTGATTTAGGAGAAGTAGATTTTAAAGCACCTATTACAAATATTTCCAAAGAATTTTTAAAAACATATTTGAAGAATGAAAGGAAAGTATGACAACAATGAATCATTAAATAGAGAATCTCAGTAAAGATATTATACATTGTTTTTTAATGGAAATTATTGAGTTGAAAAGTATAATAACTGAGAAAATCTCAAAAGTATATTTGAGATGGCAAAAGAAAACAACAATGAAATAAAAGAAAAATTAATAGATATTACACAGTATGAATAACAGAGAGACACAAAGACTGAAGAAAATTAAACAGAGCTTCACAGACCTGTGGGACAACATATATGAACAAGGACATGGGGAATGAAGCTCTATTTGAAAAAAATACCATATTTTACTGAAATTTAGTATTAATCTGAAGTAGATTATGCTAAATTAAGATGCATATTACAATATCAAGAGCCACTAAAAAGAAAAAAGTCACAAACAAATGTAGTAAAAAGTTATCAACAGAGGAATTAAAATGGTATGCCAAATAACATTTATTTAATGTAAATGAACGCAGTAAAGGAGGGACTTAGAAACAAAAGAGACAAGGGACATATAGGAAACAAGGAAAACGGCAAATATAAATCCAACTATATCAATAGTTCCTTTAAATGTAAATAGTCTAAACACACCAATTAAAAGGCAGGCTGATTTACAAATAAGATCTAACCATATGCTGTTGGATATCTAAGGTTCAAAGTCACATTTACATTTCAAAGATTCAAACTGGTCGAAAAATCAAAGGATGGAAAATGATATGCCATACAAACAGTAACCAAAAGGTGGTTGTGATACAGAAGATAGAAAGAAATTAGGTAGGCAGATAGTGAGGGCAAAAGAGTCCTTGGCAGAACTTCCCTTCTAACAAAAACCAGCCCAAGAAATCATTTCTTTTCTAACAAAGAGCAGCCTGAAAGATTGAGCTGCAAACATAGATAAGGAAGCTGGAAGCTTGCATGGGGGAATGGCGGCAGCTGCACCAATAGAAAAGGGCTACCTGGGGGCCAGGCGTGTCCACCATGGAAACTCCAACTTCCCTATTTTGTTAGCATGTGTACAGTAAGAAAGAAATGGACAACATGGAGAAGCTCAGGCAGAGAACCCACCTGCATAATAAAAGATTGGGGCAGGGGCTGCCAGTGATTCATGCCTGATGCAGATGCCACACCTGGTTCTAACCATTATTTCACACCCATTGTAGATCAGACACCACCTCTCCACCAGCTCATCTATAACTCCCTTGCATTTCACACCAGGTCAGCAACGCATTTTTCCGGAACCCCTCTCTGTAGCAGAGAGCTATTCTCTTTATTTTGCCTATTAAATTTCCACTCTTAACCTCACTTTCTGTGTGTCCACGACCTTGATCTCTGTGGCCGTGAGACAATGAACCTTGGGTGTCACCCCAGACAACAAAGCCACTTTAGTTGGAGTGGCTATAGTAGTAACAAGGAAAAGAGATTTAGACAAAAAAATACTATGAGAGACAAAGAGGAACATTTCATAATGATAAAAAAGTCAATATATCAGCAAAATATAACAATTATAAATATATATACATCTGAAAAGAGAGTGAAAACATACATGAAACAAAAATTGACAGAATAAAAAAAGAAACAAAATTCAAAAATAATCAATCTGGGATTTTAATATCTGACTCTCAATAATGAATAGAACAACGTGGCAGAAAAACAGCAAAGAGATAGATGACTGAAGCAGGCTAACTGACACATAGAGCACACTCTACCCAATGACTACAGAATAAAAATTATTTTCAAGTGCACATGGAACATTCTCCAGACTAGACCATATGCTAGGCCATAAGGCAAGTTTCAATAAATTTAAAATAATTGAAATCATACCCAGTATATTTTCCAGCAACAACAGAACTAAATCAGAAGTCAACAACAGAATAAAATTTAGGAACCCACGACAGTTTGTAATATAAACAGCACACTTCTAAATAATCCATGGGTCAAAAAAAGTCACAAGAGAATTAGATAATATTTAAACTAAATTGCAGTGCAAACATAATATAAAATTTATGAAATGCAGCTAAAGCAGTGATTACAGAGAAATTTATAAATGTAAAACCCAATACCAAAAAAAGAAGATTTCAAGTCAAATACATAAGATTCCACCTTAAGAAACTAGTAACAGAGGAAACCAAACCCAAAGCAGAAGAAACGAAATAATAAAGATAAGAGCTGAAATCAATTAAATGAAAACCAGAAAAGAAAACAGGGAAAATGAATAAAACCAAAAAATCAGTTCTATGAAAAGATCAACAAAACTGATAAACATTTTATTAAACTGATTGTTACAGGACTGCCAGGTTCATACGTCCACTGCACAGCAACAGACCAATACACTGAACAGCAGTGTTGCAACAGAGAAAGAGTTTAATAATTGCAAGTTGACAAATGAAGAAACAGGAGGAATTCTCATGCCTCAAATCTGTTTGGTCCAGGGGTTCTGGAAAAGGATTTTTAAAGGGATCTGTGGAGGACAAAGGGCTGGAAAATTTAGTGTCATTGATGCCAGGTGAGGTGTCAGAGCCCAGGCATCAAAAAAGTGGTTGACTCATGGGTTGGTGAGAATTGACTGCCAATATAGATTTGAAAAAGGAAAGTTGTATTAGATAGAAAGAATGCTGCTGGAGTGCAGCGGGTACCTCAGCAAGGGAGAACTGAGTGCACCAAGGGGCATTTTTCCTTAATGGTATTTATGGACCTTAAAGTGAAAGCGGAAGGGCAATTTGCATGACAAATAATTACATTTGCAGACATCTTGGTGCCTTAATGTTGGCAAGGGTTGCACCATGAGTTTCGGCATGCATGCATTCTGGAGATGTAGAGAAATTCTAGTTACCCATAAATTTTAAGTTAAAAAGGAGCTGAGAACCAGGTGCCTTTAGATAATAAGGAAGTCTAAATTCCTCAGATAAGGAGGTTTTTGTCTCCAGGGCCTGCCTGATCACCGGGTGATCTCTCTTTTCCTTATTATCCCACTGACAAATATTTTGGTTAAATCTTTGACCCTTTGTATTCCCCCATGCTCATATCTATGAGGGTCTCAAGACAGGGAAAACGCAACAGTGAAGAGGGACATGGGGTCTGTCTGGCTACTTCTTGCTGGAAGGAGGCGGTGAGGGTATAGGTTGTGTTTTTCCCTTTCTTGCTCTCTGCAATGAAGGGAATGAAGGGAGGTAAAAAATTCATTCGCGGGGTGGGGTAAGACCAGGTTCCATCAAGAGGCCCCATGTACATGGAAGCTGCTGTTGCATACCAGTATTGGGATTGCATAGTCATGTGTAGGTGGAATTGTTGTAATCTGGAAGATATAAATTTAATGAGAGCATTAAAAAGGCAGGGACCAAATATTAAAAGAATGACAAGGAATAAAGGTTCAAGGAATGGGAGAAGCCAAGTAATTTTAGAAACCAATCAGTAAAAGTTTTGGCCTAGTCTTGGTTACTTTGGGAAAGTGTGCGTTGCCAATTGGCTTGTTTGAAAATTTCTTGGACATTAGTTTTCATTGCTCCAGACACATTAATGTAGGTGCAACAAGTTTTGTTGATGACAGCACAGACTCCTCTTTGTTCAGCTAGGTGGTAATTTAGAGCTCATCTATTATCAAAAGCCTTCCTGCTACTGAGGCTGAAGACTTTCCTAGTGCTGATAGACTTGCACTAGTTTTTGCTAAGACTATTTTAAGGGAGTCAGTAAGTTCTCACAGTGGGATTTCATGGTAAATAATACCTCCCCAAGGAATGAGAGTTGCAATAGTTTCCACAACTCTCAGCCACAGTTAGATTAACCCAAGGCTCATTCATAGAGATGGAAAAGATAGGGGCCTGGACAGCCTCAAGACCCCATCAGTCATCTAGAGGATAACCTTCAGAGGCTTAATCATAATCTAGGAATAGAGTTAGAGGTGCTTTTCCTTGCCTTTGCCTTTGCCCTTGCCCTTGCCCTTGTCCTCATTCTGCAGGACCCCCTTGTTGGACAGGTTGGTGAGGCTGTGGCTGAGACAGTCCAGAAGGAATAGGTGCCCCTCCACCCACCAACGAGGGAGAGAGGGACACACTTACTGTTCCAATGATTGTTTGCCATGAGGACAGGGTCCTAGGGGTGGCTTGTAACATGGAGGTTTGGGACATCCGCTACTCCAGTGTCCTGGATTTCTGCATCCAGATATGAGGGCAAGCTCCCATTCTATTAGTATTATAGGGATGAACCCTGGGGCTATTGGCTAATGAAAAAGAATGTGCCAATGCTGTCACCATGTGATTAGCGTGGCAATGGCATTTTTCCTCCTCCAATTGAACATTTTTATTTTTGATGTTTCCTCTCAGTTATTGAAAATATTAAAAGCTGTATTAAATAAAGCAGGAAAGCGAGTTTGTGGGCCTTGCTCTAATTTTTGGAGTTTTGTCTGATGTCTGGGGAAGCCTGACTTATAAAATGTAATGCCAGAATGGATTGGCCCTCAGGGATTTCAGGGTCTAAATCTGTATATTTATTCATTACCTCCACCAATCTAGCGTGGAAAGGGTAGGGTTCTTAGGTGGTTTCTGAGTAATTTTTCATAATTTAGAAAAGTTGACAGGTTTTATTACAGTTTTTTTCATTCTTTCCAACAAATAAGTTATATAATCTTGTCTGCCCTTGCCTCTTTGGGCCTGCATCGGCAGCCTGGTTTTGCCAACTGGGTTCTGTGATGGGGACAGCCTCTGCCCCAGCTCTACTATCATTAGGATTGTGTGCATGAGCTTCATCTGCCCAAGCTTAAGCTAAAGACCATATGGTTACAGGTAGTTATACAGGCATGAGCAGGGCAGGAGAGGGCTCTCCCCCATCCATGACTAGGAATTTCAGGTGATGGTTTGGTAATTATCACATTGCCTCTCCATGCAAGTGATAAATTGGCAGCCAGTGCCAGGGAGAGGCCATTTCCTGATGGTCCACACCTATTGCACCAAAGTGTTAACTGAATGCAGGTTACCAGATAGAAGCAACTTCCCAGGCATATGCATTAAGAGACAAAATGGCAGAGTATGACCTTCTGAGGACACTCCACTGGACAAGGGAAGAAAGCCTCATTAGGCATGCATACAACTTCCTAAATACACTGTGCGTGCTCACTTCCCAAGAGTAACGGGGGGTACTGTGTGTGTGGGCAGCCCACCCTAAGGGAAGAATCATGGGAAAGGGGCCAACTTATAGTATAGAGTCCTAGAATCAGTGGTAAACAGGGTGCTTGGGTCTCTTCCAAGCATACTTTCCTTTCTTTCCTGTTCTAAAAATAAAGCCTTTTTAAAAAAAACTTCCACTCCTGCTTTGAAACTTGCCTCAGTCTCTTTTTCTGTCTTATGACCCTCAGGTGAATTCTTTCTTCTGAGGAGGCAAGAATTGAGGTTGCTGCAGACCCATGTGGATTCACCACCAGTAACTCTGATACCTTCCACTGGTAACAATCTGCATAGTTGGCCAGGCGTGGTGGCTCACGCCTGTAATCCCAGCACTTTGGGAGGCCAAGGTGAGCAGATCACTTGAGGTCAGGAGTTCAAGACTGGCCAACATGGAGAAACCCCATCTCTACTAAAAATACAAAATTAGCCGGGCATGGTGGTGCATTCCTACTCGGGAGGCTGAGGCAGGAGGAATCACTTGAACCCAGGAAGTGGAGTTGCAGTGAGCCGAGATCATGCCACTGCACTCCAGCCTGGGCAACAAGAGAGAAACTCGGTTAAAAAAAAAAAAAAAGCATAGTTTTTCTTCATAGGAACAAGTAGTTAATATCACAAATATATCTTGCCAGGTTAAATCAAAAGCAATAGTTAAAGCATGAAATTCTTGAGTGAACTTAGAGGGATCCTAGCTAAATGAACCCAATTTGGATTGAATTTGTGAAAGATCAGACATTAAAAAAGGGACATGAACTTTAATTGTTCCCGAATTTCCATTTGCCACCTTGCAGAGAGGCAAAACATTTTTGAGATTTTCCTGAGGGTTCTATACTAGTGGCATATGTGACTCCGGTCCGAGTATGTGAGGGGGATAAAGTGTCTGGATATGAGGGTGGTTCATTAGGGAATGGGGCAAATGGAGAGAGTTTAGGTGATGTGGGAGCGGGCTGAGGAGAGTATGGTAGGCAAAAGAAAGGATCATCTAAGTCATCAGAATCAGGGAGAGAGGAAGTTTGTTGGAAGCATACACGACAATTTTTATGTAATTTTGGGGTTTGGGATAAAGCCAAAAAGACGCAAACATATGGGACCTCTGAATCCTTTCCAAGGTTCCAGCAAAATGAGTCTAGTTGTAAAATAATATTCCAATCCAGCGTCCCATTAAGAGGCCAATTTAAATTATTGGGAGCTTATACAGAACCCAAGCTGTATTACAAAAGAAAATCATATGCTTCTTTTTGAGAGATTGTGGGTCAAAATGGGATCACTATTTAAGAACGCAACTTAAGGGTGAGTCAGATGGAATTGAAACAGGAATTGAACCCATGCTGGGTTTTGTTAAAGGGCTATAAGAGCCCTGAGGCATTCCTGAGGGATTTAGACCTTCCTTTTCTCTTTGTCTCACTTCATTCAGAGGCATCCCACCAGGGATAATGCATCTGCCGTTGCCTGGATGACCAGTCCAGACATGCCCTTGTTTCAGTGGTCAGACCTAACATGAAGGAGAACTCACCCTTTATATGGGATGTTGTGATGAGCTGTGATGAAGCGGAATCCAAAATTGGGTCCACTTAGGGTGCAGTGTATATACTGCTCAGGTGATGGGTGCCCCAAAATCTCACAAATCACCAATAAAGAACTTATTTATGTAACCAAACACTACCTATTCCCTAATAACCTATGGAAATAAAAAGTTTGTTTAAAAAAAATTAACTGCTGAATCCCAAGCACCTAGAAAAGTGGAAGCATATAAAAGATGCTTCATAAATATTTGTTGAATTAAAAAAACAATGGGTCTGCAATCAGTGATCAGTAGAGTATGTCTGTGCAGAGTTCATATGGCTGCTGCTTGTTTCCAAGGCATGGTTTAAAGGATAATGAGAGAAAGGGAACTTGCCATCCTGACAGGCAATAGCGAATTTGTTCTTCTGTCTTCACCTTCAGGTAACACCAGGAAGTGCCCTAGGCCAGAAACCCTCAATTGCCAAAGAGTACTCCAGCTGCTTCACTGGCAGTCCAAAAAGAGAATGCAGTCTGGCCAGTCTCTTACCCCTAAGGACAACAACAGACAGGAATCCCTTCTCTGGGGCCTCAAGATCCCACTGAAGAGTGGCCTAGGCCAGAAACCTTCAGTTCCCAAGAGTAAAGAATTAGACCACTGAGGGGAGCTGGAAGGAAAAAAGAAGGCAGAAATGCCAGTAAAGTCCCCATATGGGCCACCAAGATGCCAGCCCCAGCATCAGAAAGTGGTCAACTGTCGGGTTTGCAAAAATTTACCAACAGCCGGGTGCAGTGGCTCACTCCTCTAATCACAGCACTTTGGGAGGCCGAGACAGGTGGATCACTTGAGGTCAGGAGTTCCAAACCAACCTGGCAAACATGGTGAGACCCGATCTCTACCAAAAATACAAAAATTAGCCGGGCATGGTGGCGGGCTCAAGGAGAATCACTTGAACCCAGGAGGCAGATGTTGCAGTGAGCGGAGATCACGCCACTGCAATCCAACCTGGGTGACACAGTGAGACTTCACCTCAAAAAAAAAAAGAAAAGAAAAAAAATTACCGATAACTGTATAGGTTTGAAAATAGAAAGTTTTATTAGGAAGGAAGAATGCTGCAGAAGAGTGCAGTGGGGCGCCACAGCAAGAAGGAACTGAGTGTGCCCAGGTGGATTTTTCCTTAGTGATATTTATGGACATTAAAGTAGGAGCTAAAGGGTCATTTGCACGATAAATGATTACCTTTGCAGACATTTAAATGCCTTAATGTTGGCAAGGGTTGCACAATGAGTTTTGGCATGCATGCATTTCAGAAATGCATAGAAATTCTAGTTACCAGGTGACCTTTGCTCTCCTGAATTGATTGGTTGGGGTAAGGGGATGAAATCATCAGGATGCGGAAAATGCATTCCTCCCTGAGTCAGCTTCTTACTGGGCCCTCTAGACCATCTGGCATCCATAGTTTTGCTGGTATGCAGAATCTAAAGAAGTAGCCCAAACAGAAGGTGTATCATCTCACAATGGCTTAGATTTTATCCACAGAACAGAAAAAGGACAGTCTTGTAAGAAGAACCACACTATCCTGGGGTAGTAAGTAGCAACTAGCTACAAAGAAATAGGCCAAACTGGCTTAATGACTGCTGCTGTGAGCCTCATTAGATTTTTTCCCTTAATTGATTTTATAAAATTTTCTTAGAAATTGTTTTCTGATGGGGCCAGGTGCAGCGGCTCATGCCTGTAATCCCAGCACTTTGGGAGGCCAAGACAGGCGGCTCACCTGAGGTCAGGAGTTCGAAACCAGCCCAGCCAACATGGTGAAATCCCGTCTCTACTAAAAATACAAAAATTAGCTGGGCATGGTAGTGCATACCTATAATCCCAGCTACTTGGAAGGCTAGGGCAGAAGAATCACTTGAACCCAGGAGGCAGAGGTTGCAGTGAACTGAGATCGTGCCACTGCACTTCATCCTGGGCAACAGAGTGAGACTCCATCTAAAAAAAAAAAAAGAAAGAAATGGTTTTATGATGAAGAAAAAATAAAGAGAGCAATAAGAAATGAAAGCAATAGGGGCCAAGGGAAAACTTGCCCTTTGAACATTCACTGAAAATCAATTGATAAAAGGTAGATTAATAGGAGAAAAAGAATACAAATGTATTACTATGCACAAGAGTCTTCCAAAATACAAGATATCACAGAAAGGCAAGATGATTGGTGCTTTTATACCATCTTTAGGTCACACAAAGAATAGGGGATTGGATCATGGCAAAACAGATTATGGGCGGCACAGAAAAGGATGCCTGGCTGGCAAAGGTGCTCTTGTTAGGCAGATGAAACTTCGCAGATAGCAGCCCTCAGAGAGAAAAAATGCTGAAAGTAACTTTCATTTTTAAAAAATGGTAAAGGTGTCCAACTCAAAGTTAATCTTTCTTAGATTCAAACAGGAGAGGGACCTCAGAAAAGGCTTGGCAGTGTCAACGCAGATTGCCTCTTGATAAAAGAAAAACTTCACCTGAGTTAAATTTAAAGGAGATTCATTGAGCAATGAATGAGTTGCGAAATGGGCAGCCCCCAGAATCACAGCAGATTCACAGATACTCCAGGGGTGTCTCGTGGTCAGAGCAAATTTATAGACAAAAAAAGGTAAAGTGACGTACAGGAATTGGAAGTGAGGTACAGAAACAGTGAGATTGGTTACAGCTCAGCGTTTGCTTTATTTGAAGGCAGTTTGAACATTCAGCAGTCTATGAGTGGTTGAAGCATGGCCGCTGGGATTGGCCAACACTCAGCTACTGTTACAGGTGCATACTATTAAGTAAGGTTTCAATTTTGTCTGACTATTAAGCTAGGTTACAGTTCATCTATAAGTACTCAAATACAGAAGTGCAGAGGCCTTCTCAGGGCATATTTAGTTTGCTTTAACACCCTACAGATATAAATCTCCCCCGTAAAATACAGCTTTTCAGCTGTTTTTGTATTTCCAGCCCTTTTGAATAGTCATCATGAAATATGTCAGAGAAGTATGTTTTGGGGTAAAAAATATTTTCGTTTCCTTCAAAACAAATTTCTAAATTCTGGCATGAAAGAGAAACATTGCTACACATCTTTTAGAAATTAAAAGGACTTAGTGCACATTAGAAACAACTTCATGCCAACAAATAGACATTTTAGACAAAATGGAAATTTTTTTAGAAATACACAAAGTACTAAAACTCACTCAAGAAAAAATAGAAAATGTGAATCAGCCAGGCACAGTGGCTCACGCCTGTAATCCCAGCACTTTGGGAGGCTGAGGCAGGTGGATCACGAGGTCAGGAGATTGAGACCATCCTGGCTAACACCGTGAAACCCCGTCTCTACTAAAAATACAAAAAAAATTAGCCGGATGTGGTGGCGGGCGCCTGTAGTCCCAGCTACTTGGGAGGCTGAGGCAGGAGAATGGTGTGAACCCAGGAGGCGGAGCTTGCAGTGAGCTGAGATCGCTCCACTGAACTCCAGCCTGGGCGACAGAGCAAGATTCCGTCTCAAAAAGAAAAGAAAAGAAAAGAAAATGTGAATGAATTTATAACAAGTAAAGACACTGAGTTAATAACTAAAAATATTCCCACAATGTAAAGCTCAGGCTCAGGTGACCTCACCAGTGAATTCTATCAAATAAAATAGAGACAATACAAATACTTCACAAATTCTTTCAGAAACCAGAGAAGAAAGGAACACTTCCATACTCAAATCTCTGAGGCCAGGATTTCCTTGATAGCAAAGCCAAACAAAAACATAACAAACCACAGACAAATATCCCTCATAAATATGTGTTACAAATACTCTTAATAAAAGATAGGCACATCAAATCCAGTAACATATAAAAAGGGTTATACACCATGACCTAGTGGGATTTATGTCATAAACACAAAATGGTTTAACATCTGAAAATCAACTAACGCAATACACAAAGGACAAAATACATAATACAAAAAGGATGAAAGCAATGTTGATCTCACTAGATATGGTAAAAAGAAAATACAATTTCAGGACCTTCCAAATTTTTTAGGTCATGGAGAAATGTTAAGCCCTGGAAACTGACACCAGGTAACAAGGCTGTTTTTCTTCTCTGGTGCATAATTGTTGCTTTCTGATCTTTGTGTTGATATTTTATATGTTAACTTGACCCTTTACTCTTTAGTCAAATAGAGTATATGACATTGGAAAATAGAGACCCTTGTGATTGTTACCTATTTACAATAGAATGTTAAGAAATCCCTTTAGAGTATAATCAATAGTAGCCAATCAAATCTTATATCTGTATATTGCCCTTTGTATGGAAAATGTAACTCTGTTCAGCACCTCCCTTTTTGCCTGTATAAATTATCTTCATCTTCCTTCACACTAGGAACACTGTTTACCATTCTTTGGCATAGGTCTGCTCCCCAGATGGTCAACCTCACACTTTGCACTTAAATAAATACTTTTAACTGGCTCCTGTGCCTTTTGATTATTTTAGGCTGACAATACAGAAAATTAATTTTTTAAAACCCAATGCATGTGAAGATTAAAAGAACTCATAATGTAGGAATACAGTAGCAAAGACATTGAATCTACCTAAGTGTTC
The DNA here is from genome assembly GCF_000001405.40 of Homo sapiens. Lineage (NCBI taxonomy): Eukaryota > Metazoa > Chordata > Mammalia > Primates > Hominidae > Homo > Homo sapiens. The sequence goes on along the minus strand of NC_000001.11, from coordinate 238,173,436 downwards.
ATCAGTGGCAGATTGGATAAAGAAAATGTGGTACCTATATACCATGGAATACCATGCAGCCATAAAAAAGAAAAAATTCACGTCCTTTGCACCAGCTTCTACTTCTAGGGAGGCCTCAGGAAACTTACAATCATGGTAGAAGGTGAAAGGAAAGTAGGCGCATCTCACATGGCTGGAGCAGGAGGTGGGAGGGAGGTGTTACACAGACTTTAAAACAACCAGATGTCATGAGAAGCTATCATGAGAACAGCACCAAACAGGATGGTGCTAAACCACTCATGAAGAATTCACCCCCATGATCCAACATTGGGGATTAGAATTCAACATGAGATTTGATGGGGACACAGAATCAAACCATATCACTAGAATATATAAATATAAATAACTCATACAACAAAATAATAAGAAAACAGCCAAATTTTAAAATGGGCAAAACATGGTAAAAGAAATCAGCTGCAAAACTCTAATACTGTATACTTTATTAAATAAAATATCAAGGACTGGCAAACTTTTAGACAATGAAAGAGACTTATGGTTGTTTAGCCATGGAGATAGAGGAGGAAGGAAACTAACTACAATTGGGAGCAAGAGAATTTGGAAGGATGATAAAAATGTTCTAAAATTGAATTGTGATGATGGTTTAAAAAACTTCATAAATTTATTAAAAATAGAAAAAGAATATTCTGATAGTTTATGAGAATGTAAGAAATAAATGGAGTTAGACAATAAATCAATCTAGACCTACACAAGGACAGTGAGGAATGTTTGGAAAAAAATTATTTTTCCTATATTCTATAATGTTTTCCTCAACAAGTTCAGAATGTGACCCAGAAATTCTCAACATTCTTCAAAATACAATTTTAGATTTGTCAATGATGAATTCACCTAAAACCACATTGATACAGTTATATTTATATAAATGAAAATGTGCTGTTTATGGTGACCTTGAATTAAAAGTGCAAAATCAAAGAAGAATTCATGGATTTTAAAAAATGATGTATGCTTCTTTTCTCTATGGCAGTTTATAGATTTCTAATTTGAAATATCATAGGATATCAAGCTAATATCTAATTGGAAGTAAATCTTGCTCATAAACAAGTTATTGCTTCTTGCATTTTATCCATCTGAGCTCTGCATTTCTTTGGCACCAGAACTTATCACTGGTTAAAACACACACATACACACAGGACTGCATACTCACATCAGTCAATTTCCTCACATTGGTAATAGTCCAGATATTTAATTTGTTTTATTCATTCTATGTACCATATGCAAAGAAGCTACATTTACATCAAAATTGCAATTCAAAGAGGCATACACAATGTAAAATGACCAATTTTTCTCAATTAGATTGTCAAAAAAAGGAACAGAGGTTAGTTTTTATCGTTAGTTAAATTCCAAAACAACCACTTATTTTAAAATAATCTTTGGCAGGCTTGACTGTGCACTCGGAAATAGCTTTGTGCATTGAAATAAAATTAGATGCTGCCTTCTTTTCACTCAGGTGGAAGAATTAGGGAAATTTAAATTGTGCCAAAATTAACAGGGAATTTAAAACATCCATAGTAGATTTTTTATATCCAGCTAGGAAGCCAATCTATCCCTAAGACCCAAAAATAAATCAAAACACTTCCCCAAATCATAGTTAATTATTTTTGACAATTAGTTGTCAAGCTATAAGACTGGATAATTATGAAAATTCACACTGATTATATAACAAACTGAAGTAAGAAGCTATGTTTAAATTTTTTAAAAATGCAACAGGCCCAGGAAGACAAGGCATTGTCCTCTTGTGCTTTAAGATAGGAAGAGATTGGAACCGACGCCTTAGAAAGACTGATATGAAATCCAAGGAAACAGGATGTAAATGTAATATTTTCTAACAAGCGAAAGTTTACACAAGTTGGAGTTCTAGGGAAGACCTCTCCTGTAATTTGTTATGGCAAATTGCACTAGGACTTCTGAATGACTTCCATGTCATTCATACGTCCTCAAATTTGAAAAACTGCCAAACAAAAATCGATCATTTTTGTTTAATTTTTATATCCAAGTACTGAATGAGCACCAAATAAAGTTATTTAATCTAGAGCCAAAAATGTGTAAATGGTTGTCCTATCTTCAAGCCAAACTTGTTCTCAGTTGTATTCATAAGCATTAGAACTATTCATTAAGACTACCTTCAAAAGAGGCAAAAAAGGTCATTATGCAATGATAAAAAATATCATTTTAGTAAGAAGATATAACAATTATAAGCATATATGCACCCAACATCAGAGTAATCAGATATATAAAGCAAATATTATATCTTAAGAGACAGACTCCACTACCATAATAGTTGAAGACTTCAACACTCTGCTCTCAGCAACAGACAGATCATCTAGACAGAATATCAACAAAGACACATTGGATTTCTAGGCAAGTGTAGGCACAGAATTAATATTTTTAAAAAGAGAGACATTGGATTTCAACTTCACTTTAGACCAAATGGTCCTAGCAGACATTAATGTAACATTTTATCCAATAGTTAAAGAATACACATCGTTCTCATCAGAACATTGAACATTCTCCAGGATGCACTACATATTATGCCACAAAACAAGTCTCAACAAATTTACAAGAATTGAAATCATATCAAGTATCTTTTCTGACCCCAATATAATAAAACTACATATCAATAACTAGAGGAACTTTCAAAACTGTGCAGATACATGAAAATTAAGCAACATGCTCCCAAATGACCACTGAGTCAATGAGGAAATTAAGAAGAAAAAAAATCTTGAAACAAATGAAAATAAAAACACAACATACCAAAACCTATGGAATACAGCAAAGTAGTATTAAGAGGGATGTTTATAGCAATAAATGCTTACATCAATAGAGTTTTAAAAGTGGATATAACCTAAATGTCTGTCAGCTGATGAATGGATACACAAAATGTGGTGTATCTATACAATGAAATATTATTTGGCAATAAATAGGAATGAAGTGTTGACACATGCAACATGAATGAATCTTGAAGAAATTTTGCTAAGTGAAAGAAGCCAGTCACAAAATATCATAGATTGCATGATTCCATTTATATGAAATGTTCAGAACAGGCAAATCTATAGAGTCAGAAAGTAGATTAGTGTTTGCCTCGGACTTGTGAGTATGCAAAAAAATGGTCTATGACTGCTAAAAGGGTACAGGACTTCTTTTTGGTATGATGAAAATATCCTAAACTTGATGATGGTTATGGGCTCACAATATTGTGAATATAGTGAAAAGCATTGAATTGTACAATTTAAATGGGTGAAATGTATTATTCTATGATCTGAATGTTTGGGTCACTCCCCAAAATTCACATGTGAAAATCCTAACCCCTATGGTGTTGGTATTAGCAGATGGGGCCTTTTGGAAAGTGACTAGGTAATGAGGGCAGAGTCATCATGAATAGGATTAGTGCCTTATAAAGTAGGCCCAGGGGAGCTCCTTGGCCCCTTCAGCCATGTGAGGTTACAATGAGAAGACATCCACTTATGAAAGAAGCAGGCCCTAACTAGACAATAAATTGGCTGGCTCATTGATCTTGAACTTCTAAGCCTCCAGAACTATGAGAATACTTTTTTTTTTAGTTGATTAGCTTCTCAGTCTAAAGTATTGTCTTACAGTAGCCCCAGTAGATTTAGATATATGGTACACATTGAGGACCCTTTATCCAAAATGCTTGGGGCCAGAGCATTTCAGATTTAAGATTATTTTGGATTTCAGAATATTTGCAATATACTTAAGGTTGAACATGCCTAATCTGAAAATAAGAGAAATCCAAAATTTGAAGTGCTCCAATGAGCATTTCCTTTGAGTGCCATGGCAGCACTTACAAAGTTTTTGAATATTTTGAATTTCGGTTTTTTGGATTAGGAATACTCAATCTGTATGTGGGTTAATTCTTAACCAAGATGTTTAAAAGTATTCTAAACTTCAGCCTATTCATTCATTTGACATATTTTAAGGCTCCCATTTTCCAAATACTGGTTAGTCTATGGGAATACAGAATGACAATCTATGCCCCATTACATGTTCAATTAATGAGAGAAACAGAAAAGCAAAGCATCACATTTATTCTTGTGAAAGGAAGATACATCATAAATGTTGTGATCCAGCAAGCAGAGAGTGCAGTTGGAACACAAGAGAACTCAATACACTTAATCCAGCTTGGGGATGACACGTCAGGGACACAGCTTCCTAAACAGGGAAACATCTACATGGGGCCCACAGCATGCTGAAGATAAGAAAGACAGAAAAGGTTTATCAAAGAATTAGAGGATGTTGTCCAAAGACAGGAAGAAATGACACTGCAAGACTCGTTCTGAAGACTGGATATGCCTAGGACAGTAGGTTCAAAGATATGAAGGGTGACACATGAGGACTGAGATAGAGTTGGGAATATATTACAATAGATTTTGTATACCAGCATACATTTGTATTACAATAAATTTTGTACTAACTAGTAGGCAATAGAAAAATCACTGTTTGGTTTGAATTTGGAGAAAAGAGAAATGATAGGGTCTGCATTTTTAGAATATCATTTTGGTTGCAAAATCTATAGATTTTGACATATAAGATAAATTTGAAAGACAACATACACTGCAATCCAACTAAGGCAATGGTAAGGGAGACCAAGGGAAAAGGATAGGTCTGAAAGATGTTTATAAGATGGAATTGATTTGATGTGCCAAACGATTACATATAACTATTAAGGATGAGGAAGGAATTGGGATTATCCCCGCGTTTCTGACTTTGGAACTACATTTGCTTGTGATGCCCTTTCATCATGATAATGGCTATTGGAAGAAGGTTAAATTAGGAAGAATGGGAAAATGACGTTTAGCTGAGGACTTACTGTGATTAAAGTGCCTGAGGAATGTCATAGTGGATATGTCCAGAAATCAGGAGAATATAAGGAAATGGAAATCAGGAGAAAGATCTTTCAAGAGAAATGAATGTGAGAATTGTCATGACATACAGCTATTGAACTTAGGAACTGGAAAAACATTGATAGAAAGGTTATACCAAGAAAGCACAGAAAAAAACCCAATTTAAGGCTTAAATACTCAGCTCTTGCACTCATTATTTCTGTACTAGGAGCAAGGCAAGATAATGCCCTGAACTTCAGGTTGCTTTTCTCTAAAATAAGCCTCATAAAGAAAGAAATTAGGTAAGTAAACTATGTATAACTATTGGTATAGTGCCCAACACATAAATGCTAGTTCATTTCTTCTTTTCCCTTTATATAGTGAGCATTCATTTATTCAATTAATACTTTTGAGCTTTACAATGTGCCAGCAATGTTCTAGGTGGGTGTTAAAACTGATAGATAGTTCCTACCTCCTTATAGCCACGGCGATGGGAAGGTAAATTAGGTGGGTGAATTAGCATCCTAAGCAATAGTGATTTGACCTATGGGTACCATAAGGGACCCAGGCAGGGCTGATAACATCCTAGAATTGATAAATAGATCTTTGGGGAAAAAAAGTTTCCATTTTCATTTCATTTTCTAAGCTGAGACTGCCAGTTAACATCTTGGCCACCTGGAGGCAGTTCCATCTGATTTGTGAGAGTGTTACCTTACAAGATTACCCAGAGACGGGTAGAGAGAATTGGTGATATCACTTGAGCTGACTGAACCTATCATAACTGAAGTGCGGCCATGACTGGACTTCTTAGTTAAATCAGGCAATATATCCTGCCACTACATATTTTTTGCTTCGGGTAGTTTCATTGACTTATATCGCTTGCAACTGAAAGAGCTCTGACTAATATAACTTTCTGAGCTCCCATAAAGGTAGTTTGTCCTCTGAAGCCTTTTGTCTATAGGAAGATTATGGGCATCAAAGGCATTCTACCCTTTAGAACAGATCTCTCAAGGGTAAATACAATTCCTGATTACCTTAAGACGTGGCCTCATGTATCCAGAAGCTACTGAATATGGAATTGTTTGACACACCATCGAGTGTTTACAGTGGGTCAGGAGCCAAATACCATGTCATATAGCAGGACAACATTCTCTACTTTTAGAAACTTACAGCAAAATATGAAAAAGAATAAATACTTTTGGGAGACCAGCAAGAAAAAATGCTACAAAGAAAGTTTTAGCACTTAGATTGAGATACTAACCTCCTCTTTATGAAATATTTTTTCTGTAAAGATTGACTTTGCAGTCATGACATCAACCCATCTAACAATCATCTATGACATGGAATAAAGTACAAATGGGGCAATTCACAGTTCAGAAAACATACAAACATAGGCAGGTGAACATTTTATGGCGGCAGCATTGCTTTTTGTAAAGCACAAGCTTTGGTATAAGAAAAGTCCATCTAGAATTGTGAAAAGAAAATATTTCTAATTATTGACCCAAAACACACATCTTCAGAGGCTTCACTTGCAAAGAGCTATCAAATGTGCAATTTTATAAGATGTCTTTTTTTCTTTCTAAAGGTATTTATTCATTTGCCCTTCACATAAATAGTGCAAGTTCATCGTGGAAAAATTGTAAAAGATATACAAAGCCCAAATAATATTTAGTCATCCAAACAAACTCAGTTAACCATTATTATTAGTTTGGTGGTGGTGCTTGTCATGGGATATCTGTATGTATTTACATAAACTGATCCTGCTTTTATTATTTAGTAATATATCATGAAGATTTTAACATCTTTACGTATAAATATATGTAGTTCACATACTTATATAAATAACTATATAGTACTCTAACCTACAATGTCTACATAGTATTCCGGGTACAAATGCTTCATAATTTATTTAACATGTCTCCAAATATTAGACTTTTAACTATTTTCCTAAAATTAAATATCAATGGACCAAAAGTAAACAAGTTTTTTAAAAGCTCTTTATATAGTTTGTCATATTGTCCTTCATAAAACCTGAAACATTTTACATTCCCACTCATTAACAAGCAGGGGAAAGCTTGTTTGCTCATATTCCAGCATTATTCTTTTTAAAATTATCACAAGTAATTTTTTTTTTTTTTAAATGGAGTCTCACTCTGTCACCCAGGCTGGAGCATAGTGGTGCGATCTCGCCTCGCTGCAACCTCCGCCTTCCATGCTCAAGTGATTCTTGTGTCTCAGCCTCCCCAGTAACTGGGATTACAGGTGCCCACCACCACACCTAGCTAATATTTGTATTTTTAGTAAAGACAGGGCTTTCACCATGTTGGCCAGGCTGGTCTCAAACTCCTGGCCTCAAGTGATCCACCAGCTTTGACCTCCTAAAGTGCTGGGATTACAGGCATGAGCCACTGCACCCAGCCAAAATTATTGCAAGTAATTTCTGAATTGAAAATACTGATATGAAATAAACATGTAAATAAAAATGTATAAGTACGGTAATGTTAATGTTCTGTGGAAATAGAGTTGATTCCTTAGAAAATAATGAAAAATTAAGCTGAAGAGAAAAGCTATAATAAAAACATAATTTTATAGGAAGTTGTGTTCTTGTAAATCATTTTTCCATGAGTAACATCAGTTCTTCTTCAGGATTATGTCAAATAGATGTGCTTTAAATTAATTATAATTGAAAACAAAATTGTTTACAAGGCCAAAGTTTCTCATGTGTACCATTAGAACTTCTATCAAATTCATATTTTTACTGTTAAAGGGTGCCTTTAGAACATAAAGATTCATAGACTGGTACAAATAAATAAATAAATCTATAGCTTTTTGAAGAAAAATTGGAATTTGATTAGTTTCAATAACAGTGGCTTGGCATGAAAAGTTTGTAAGGAGCAGGGTGGAGAAAGAAGGCAGAATAGAAGCCTTACACTATTTGTACCTTCCACAGGCACATCAAATTTTAACAACTATCTGCACACAGAAAAGAACCAAAACTCAAGAGCGCAATCACAGTACCTGGTTTTAACATCAGATTATTGAAAGAGGCATTGAGGAGGGTTGGAGATAGTCTCTAAATGCCAATGCCACCCTTTTGCCATTCACCAGCAGAAGTGGTGCAGAGAGAAACATCTGTACTTTGGAAAGGGAGAGCAGTTACTAGGAGACATTACATTGAACACAGTGTTGCCCTTTCACAGCAGAGGGTAAAACCGTGCTGGACTCAGCCAGTGCCCATGCACTGAGAGAGCATGTGGACTAGACCTAGCCAGAGGGGAATTGCCCATCCCATTGATCAGAACTCAAGTTTCTCAGCAAGCCTTCCCACTGTGGGGCCAAAGTGCTCTAGGATCCTAGGCAAACTTGAAAGGCAGCCTAGGCCTCAAAGACTGCAATTTTTTGGCAACTTCTAGTGCTGGGCTGGCCTGACAGCCTGTAAACTAGAGTGGCACATAACCTTTGAAGACAGCAGCCAAGGCAGCTAAAGAAGTGCTTGTGCCATCTCTCCCCCAACCCCAAACAGTGCAGCCAACAACAACAAAAGTGTATCTTTCCTTTGCTTAAAGGGTGGAGAGTGAAGAGTAAAGAGGATTTTGTTGTGCGTCTTGGACACATGCTCAGCTACAACAGGATAGGGCACCAGGCAGAGTTGTGAGGCCCCCATTCCAGGCACTAGCTCCTGGACATTTTGGGACATACCCTGGGCCAAAAGAAAACCCATTGCCTTGAAGGAAAACAAAACCAGTCCTGGAAGGATTCATCACCTGCTGACCAAAGCCCCTTGGACCCCCCAAAAAAAGCAGTGATGCCCAGATTGTATTCTATGGGCCTTGGCAGTGAGACATACAGGTGCAACTCAGCACATTCCCAGCTGTGGTACCTGTGGTGAAAGAATTTTTCTGTTTGAGAAAAGCAGAGGGAAAAGTAAAAGGATTTTTGTCTTGCAATGTAGGTACCAACTCAGCCACAGTGGGGTAGAGCAAAAAGCAGGCTCTTGGGTTCACTGAGTCCAGGCCTAGGCTCTTAGACAGTATTTCTGGACCTGCCCTGGGCCAGAGGGGAACCCACTTCCCTGAAGGGTGAGTCCCAGGTCAGGCACCATTCACCACAAGCCAACTGAAGAACCTTTGAGCCTTAAGTGAACATGGACAGTGGACTAGCAGAACCCCCCACACCCATGAGCTGATGGTGGTGGTGCCCACAGAAAGAGTCTACTCTGCCTTTTGAAAGGGGAGGGAAGAATGGAAAGGACTTTATATTTTGGTTTGAGTGCCGGCTTAGCCACAGTAGAAAAGAATATCTGGCAAATTTCTAAGGTATTTTTACTCCAATCCCTGGCTCCCAGGCAACATCTTTGGACTTGCCTGGGGCCTCAGGGAACTCACCACCCTAAAAAGAAGGACACAGACCTAGCTGTTTTTGCCACCTGCTGATTGTAAAGCCTTAGGGCTTTGAGTGAACGTAGGTAGTAGCCAGGTAACCAGGTAATTATTACAGTGGGCCTTGGGCAAGGCAAGTGCTGTGCTGGCTTCAGGTCTGACACAGCACAGTCCCACTGGTGGTGACCATAGGAGTTCTTGCATCACCATACCCCCATTTTCAGCTGGCTCAGCACAGAGAGAAAGAGACTTCATTTGTTAGACAGAAGGTGAGAAAAAAGAACAAGAGTGTCTGCTTAGTAATCTAGATAATTCTTCTGTATCTTATCCAAGACCACCAAGGCAGTGCCTTATGAGTCTGCAAAACCACAGTGCTGTTTGGTTTGGAGCCCAGGTCCTTTTGAATACCTGCACAGCCTTCTCAATAAGACTGGGCACAAACCCCATCTGGGAAGGCTACAATAAATACCTAACTCTTCAATGCCCAGGCACTGAAGAACATCTATAAGCATCAAGATCATCCAGGAAAATATAACCTCACCAAATGAACTAAATAAGCCACCAGGAACCAATCCTAGAGAAACGGAGATACACAACCTTTCAGACATAGAATTCAAAATAGCTGTGTTGAGGATACTCAAAGAAATACAAGATAACACAGAGAAGGAACTCAGAATTCTATCAGATAAGTTTAACAAAGAGATTGAAATAATTCAAAAGAATCAAGCAGAAATTCTAGAGGTGAAAAATGCAACTGACATTCTAAAGAATGCATCAGAATCACTTAATAGCAGAATTGTTCAAGCAGAAGAAATAATTAGAGAGCTTGAAGGTAGGCTATTTGGAAATAGATAGATGAGACAGAAGAAAAAAGAAAAAACAATGAAGTATGCCTATAAGATCTATAAAAGAGCCTCAAAAGGGCAAATCTGAGAGTTACTGGCCTTAAAGAAGAGGTAGAGAAAGAGATAGGGGTGGAAAGTTTATTCAAAGGAATAATAAGGGAACTTCCCAAACCTAGACAAAGATATCAATATCCAAATATAAGACTACAGAACACCAAGCAGATTTAACCCAACAAAGACTACCTCAAGTCATTTAACAATCAAATTCCCAAAGGTCAATGATAATGAAAGGATCCTAAAAGCAGCAAGATAAAAGAAATGAATAACATAAAATGGAGCACCAATAAATCTGGCAGCAGACTTTTAAGTGGAAACCTTACAGGTCAGGAGAGAGTGGCATAACATATTTAAAGCACTGAAGGAAAAAAAGCTTTTATCCTAGACTAGTGTACCTGGTGAAAGTATCCTTCAAGCATGAAAGAGAAATAAAGACCGTCCTTCCAAGACAAATAAAATTTGAGGGATTTTTATCAAATCCAGACTTTTTCTAAAAAAAATACTAAAGGGGTTTCTTCAAACTGAAAAAAAAAAGATGTTTATGAGCAATAAGAAATCATCTGAAGGTACAACTCACTGATAATTGTAAGCACACAGAAAAGCACAGACTGTTATAACACTGTCATGGTGTGTAAACTACTCTTATCAGATGCAGAAAATATAAACAATGAACTAATAAAAAATAATAACTACAACTTTCCAAGTCCTAGACAGTACAATAAGACATAAATAGGAACAAAAAAGTTTAAAAGTGGGGGGATGAAGTTAAAGTGTAGAGTTTCCATTAGTTTTCTTTTTGCATGTTTGTTTGTTTATGCAATGAGTGTTAAGTTGGCATCAGTTTAAAATAATGGGTTACAAGATAGTATTTGCAAACCTCATGGTAACCTCAATTTGAAACACATATTAACAAAATGGAGACACAAAAATAAAAAGCAAGAAATTAAATCATACCACCAGAGAAAATTACCTTTACTAAAAGGATGACAGGAAAGAAAAAAGAAAGACCTCAAAACAAATTTTAAAATGGCAAGAGTAAGCCTCCACATATCAGTAAAAACATTAAATGTAAATGGACTAAATCTTCAATCAAAAGACACAGAGTGGCTGAATGGATTAAAAACAAGACCCATTGTTCTGTTGCCTACAAGAAACACACTTTGCCTATAAAGATACACATTGACTGAAAATGAAGGGAAGGAAAAAGATGTTCCATGCCAATAGAAACCAAAAGAGCAGGAGAAGCTATATTTAGAAGAAATAGATTTTAAGACAAAAACTGTAAGAGAAGACAAAGAAGGTCATTATATAGGGATAAAGGGGTCAATCCCATAACTGGATATAATGACTGTGAATATATGCACTTAACACTGGAGCATATATTTAGGTGCTCCATATGTAAATATAATATATAAAGCAAATATTATTAAAGGTGAAGAAAGAGCTAGACCTCAATACAATAATAGCTGGAGATATCAAAATCCCACTTTCAGCATTGGGCAGATTTCCCAGACAGAAACTCAATAAAGAAGCACTGGACTTAGAGCAAATGAACCTAATAAATATTTACAGACTATTTCATCCAAAGGTTGCAGAATACAATACACATTTTTCTCCTTAGCACATGGATCATTCTCAAGGACAGATTACATGTTAGATCACAAAACAAGTCTTAAAACATTTAAATAAATTGGAATAATATCAAGCATCTTCTCTGACTACAATGGAATAAAACAAGAAATCAACAACAAGAGGTATTTTGGAAATTATACAAACACATAGAAATTAAACAATACGCTCCTGAATCAATTAAGTAAATCAATTAAGAAATTTGAAAATGACAATGAAAACACAGCATAGAAAAGCAAGAGCAAACCAAATCCAAAATTAATAGAAGAAAATAAATAACAAAGATCAGAGAAGAAATAAATGAGATTGATATGAAGAAAACAATACAAAAGATCAATGGGACAAAAAGGGTTTTTTTAAAAGACAAACAAAATTGACAAGCCTTTAGCCCAACTAAGACAAAAAGGGAGAAGACACAAATAAATAAAATCAGAGATGAAAAAGGAGATATTACAACCGATACTTCAGAAATTCAAAGGATCATCAGTGGCTACTATGAGCAACCATATGCCATTAAATTGGAAAATCTACAGAAAATAGTTACATTCCTAGACACATAGAACCTACCAAGATTTAACCAGGAAGAAATCCAAAACCTAAACAGACCAATAACAAGTAACAGGATGGAAGCCATAATGGTCTCCTAATAAAGATTCCAAAACCTGATGGAGTCACTGGTGAATTCTACAAATATTTAAAGAAGAACTAGTACCAATCCTACTCAAACTACTCTGAAAAGTAGAGAGAGAAGGAGGGAATACTTCCAAGCTTATTATATGAGACCATGATTACCTTGATACCAAAACAAGCCAAAGACACATCAAACAAACTACATGCATATATCTCTGATGAATACTGATGCAAAAATTCTCAACAAAATACTAGCAAACCGAATTCAACAATTTATTAAAAACATCGTTCATCATGACCAATTAAGATTTATCCTAGGGATGCTAGGATGGGTTAACATATGCAAATCAATCAATGTGATAAATCATATCAGCAAAATGAAGGATAAAAACCATACGATCATTTCAACTGATGCTGAAAAAGCTTTGGATAAAATTCAACATCACTTCATGCTTAAAATCCTCACAAAACTGAGGATTCAAGGAACATACCTCAACATAATAAAAGCCATATATGACAGACTCATAGCTAGTATCATACTCAATAAGAAAAAACCTGAAAGCCTTTCCTATAAGATCTGGAACATGACAAGGAAGTCCACTGTCACCACTGTTATTCATCATAGTACTGGAAGTCCTAGCTAGAGTAATCAGACAAGAGAAAGACAAAAAGACATCAAAATTGGAAAGGAAGAAGTCAAATTAACTTTGTTTGAAGAATATATGATCTTATAGTTGAAAAAAACCTAGACTCCATTAAAAATCAATTAGAACTGATGAACAAATTCAGTAAAGTTGCAGGATACAAGATAAAAATATAAAAATCAGTAGCATTTCTATATGCCAACACTGAACAATGTGAAAAAGAAATAAAAAAGTAATGCCACTTACAACAGCAATACATAAAATTAAATACCTAGGAGTTAACTTAAAGACGCAAGAGATCTCTACAATTAAAACTATAGACCCGTGACGGAAGAAATTGAAAAGGACACAAAAATATGGATGAAAACTCCATGTTCATGGATTGGATGAATCAATATTGTTAAAATGTCCATACTACCCAAAGCAATCTACAGATTCAATGCAATTCCTATAAAAATAATGATATTCTTCACAGAGGTAGATACAACAATTCTAAAATTTATGTGGAACCACAAAAGATCCAGAATAGCCAAAGCCATCCTGAGCAATAAGAACAAAATTAGAGAAATGACATAACCTGACTCCAAATTATACTACACAGCTACAGTAACCAAAACAGCATGGTACTGACATAAAAACAGACACATAAACCAAGGGAATAGAATGGAAAACCCAGAAACAAATCCATACACCTATGGTAAACTCATTTTTGACAGGTGCCAAGAACATACATTGGAGAAAGGACAGTTTCTTCAGTAAATGGTTTTGGGAATACAGGGTATACAGGGTATCCATGTGCAGAACAATGAAACTGGACCCCTATCTCTCGCCATATATGAAAATCAAATAAAAATGTTTAAAAGACTTAAATCTAAGACCTCAAGCTATGAAACTACTACAAGAAAACAATAAGGAAACTCTCCAGGATACTGATCTAAACAAAAAATTTTTGAGTCATAGCCCACAAGCACAGGCAACCAAAGGAAAGATGGACAAATAGGATGACATCCAGTTAAAAAGCTTCTACACAGTGAAGGAAACAATCAACGAAGTGAGGACACAATTCACAGAATGGGAGAAAGTGTTTCAACTACCCATCTGACAAGGATTAATAACATGAAAAGAAGCTCAAACAACTCTATAGGAAAAACTAGTAATCCAATCAAAAACGGGCAAAATATTTGAATAGTAGACATCCAAATGGCAAACAGGCATGTGAAAATGTACTCAACATCATTGATCATGAGAGAAATGCAAATCAGAACTATAATGAGATATTATCTCACCTACCTGAGTTAAAATGGCTTACATTCAAAAGACAGGCAATCACAAATGCTGGAGACAACGTGGAGAAAAGGGAACCATGTACATTGTTGGTAATGTAAGTTATTACAACCACTTGGAAGAACAGTTTGGAGTTTCCTCAAAAAACTAAAAACAGAGCTACCATATGATCCAGCAATACCACTGCTGGGTATATACCACAGGAAAGGAAATCAGTATATTGAAGAGATATCTGAACTCTCATGTTTTTTGCAGCACTGTTCACAATATCCAAGATTATGAAGCAACTTAAGTGTCCATCAATAGGTAAATGGTTAAAGAAAATGTCTTACTCATACACAATTGAGTACTATTCAGCCATAAAAAAGAGTGAGATCCTGTCATTTGCAACCTGAATGGAACTGGAGGTCATTATGTTAAGTAAAATAAGCCAGGCACAGAAAAACAAACACCACATGTTCCCACTTATTTGTGGAATTTAAAAATCAAAACAATTGACCACATGGAGTTAGAGAATAGGAGGGGGGTTACCAGAGGCTGGGAAGGGCAGTATGAGGTGTGGGGAAGGTGGGGGTGCTTAATGGGTACAAAAAAATGGTTTGAAAAAATTAATAATACCCAGTATTTGATAACACAAAAGGGTAACAATAGTCAAAATAATTGAATTGTATATTTAAAAATAATTAAAAGTGTATAATGGTTTGTAACACAATGAATACATTCTTGAGGAGACGAATACACCATTTTCCATGGTGTTACTATTACACATTGCATGCCTATATCAAAACCTCTCATGTACCCCATAAATATGTACACCTATGTACCCACAAAAATTTTAAAAACCTGCTTAAGAAAGTTTGCAAAGCCTGTTAAAGTACAGCAGATAATGAGAAAATGTTTCACAGTATGACTTTTGTTTTAATGATGACTCTCCTTATAAACAAATTATTTTATATTAACCTTTATCATTTAGTTGTGGCCATTAATCCACATTTTATTTGTCATGTTTTAATACAATTTTACAGATTTGAAAAAAACAATTATATTTATAGAGGATATATTGATTATGATAGTATTTCCAAAGTATATCACAATATCACAAGACACTCCACTTATAAAAGGATTTTGTGTTCAAAGTATGTTTGAAAAACACTGTTTATAATGTCCCTCTCTTTGAGATATGCAATATACACTAGTAAATTAAAAGCTCTGAGAAGTCGTATAAATAAAAAATCCTGTTTTATTGTGTTTTAGTATCTCCCAAACTTTCCAGGCAGATTATACATCATGCTCTCCTCTGTGTTCCTAGTATCTGTCTATTTATCTATCTATCTATATAGCTAGAGAGAGAGAGAGAGAGAGACAATCTACATCAAATATATATATAGATATATGTAACCTATATAAAATATAAATATATAATAAAATATAAATATATAATATAAATATATAATGTGTGTAATATTTTAAAATAATATTTGCAATAGTTTCTTCAGATTTTAAAATAAGAATTATATTAGCTTAATAAAAAGAATTGGAATACTCTCTGAAATAGTTTATATACTGATATGGTTTGGCTCTGTGTCCCCACCCAAATTTCATCTCAAATTGTATCCTTAGAATCCCCACATTTTGAGGGAGGGACCTGGTGGGAGGTGATTGGATCATGGGGGCAGTTTCCCCCATGCTGTTCTCGTGATAGCAAGTGAGTTCTCATGAGAGCTGATGGTTTTACAAATGGTGGTTTCCCCTGCTGTTTGCTCTCCTGTCACCTTGTGAAGAAGGTGCCTGCTTCCCCTTCTGCCATGATTGTAAGTTTCCTGACACCTCCCCAGCCAGGCTGAACTGTGAGTCAATTAAACCTCTTTCCTTTAGAAATCACCCAGTGTCAGGAAAGTTCTTTATAGTAGTTGAAAATTGACTAATACATATAGCATGGAAATTATCTTGAAAGTTCGAAAAAAAATTATAATAAAGCTATCTGGTGCCACCATTTTAAAAAAATCAAGTAGCCTTTTAAAAAGTTTTAAAATGTTCCTCCATTGTGATTAGACCACTCTTTCTACATCTTGAGTTAGTTTTTATATTATTGTTAAGAAATCCTTGGATTTCAACTTTTCTTTACTTAAAACTCTAGGCACACTGTTCCATTTTTTTCTGATATCTAATGTTAGAAAGGAAAATTTAAAGGGCAATCTGATTTCACTACATATAAATAATTTGATTTTTTGTATTCATGTGGTTTTTTTTATCTTTGTAAGGAAAAAGTGTTGCTTGAATGTCTCTAATTATGAATCTTTTTTCATTGATTCCTTTTTTGTATACAAGAGGATGTGTTATTTGATTAAGACATACCAGTATTTTTTTAATTCAAGCAAATTTTCTTCAGTTATACCTTTAATTATTCTTCATTTGAATGAGTGGATCTGAATTCTTCCTTAGAAACACCACTTACCTCTACTTTGGATCTCTAATTCTAGCCTTCTCTATTATTAATTGTGTAGACTCATCTCCTTATCATTTTCCTCTGTAGAATCTCAAAAAGTTTTCTGAGTCTTTAAATTTCTTCTACGCATCAGTGATTTCATTTTCCCAGGTTTAATTAAGATATACTTAACACATATGCTCCACAAATATGCATGACAAAGCCTATTTAATTGTGCTATACAATTTTAATTTGGGGGACTCATTAATTTCTTATCTCCATTAACTTCATTGGGATTTCAGCTTTTGTCTTTGTTGATTACACTTTTTCTTTAAACTACAGTCTGTACTTCTTTTGGCTTCATGCATTACATTTAGAAGACAATTATTTTTTCACTAAATTTCCTTCACTGGCTTTTTTGGGGGGTGTTAATTTTTTCTTACTGAGCCACTCTCATATAGTGAGTAGAGAAGCCAGAATTACTGTTTACTGAGAGAGAGAGCAAAAAATTATTCTTGAGTTAATCATTCAGCCTCAAATAAAATAATGTGACATCTGTGATTTGCTTCAAAATAATAAAAAAGTGGAAAATCAGTTGTAGATAAAATAAGATTGCCTAAGACGTGACAATTGTTGAGGCTGAAAAGGGAAACATAGGTGTTCATAATGCCATCTATTTCTACATATGTTATATTTTTCATAATAAAAGGTTTAAAAGAATCCATCAGTGATAGTTAATTTTATGTGTCAACTTGCCTGGGCTATGGGGTATCTAGTTATTTGGTCAAATATAATTCTGGGTGTTTCTGTGAAGGTTTATCTTAATCTGTTTTGTGTGGTTATAAAGATATACCTGAGAATCAGTAATTTATATTAAAAAAAAGAGAGAGATTTACTGAGCTCATGGCTCGACAGGCTGAACAAGAAGCATGGTGCCAGCATCTGCTCAGATTCTGGTAAGAGATTTTGTGCTGCATCAAAACATGGTGGAGAAGGCGAAAGGGAATGCAAGCAAACGCAAAGGCAGACCAAATCCCATGGGTATCTTGGCTTCACAACAACCCACTCTCATGAGAACTAATCCATTTCCCAAGAACCAGTCCAGTCTCAAAAGCAAGAACTCACTCACTACTGCCAGAATAGCACCAAGCCATTTATGAGGGACCCACTCTCCCTGACACAAACACCTTCAAATAGGCCTCACCCCAAAACCCCGCCACACTGGGGCTCACATTTCAACATGAGATTTGGTGGAGACAAACAAACCATATCCAAACCATAGAAGAATGTTTGAGGTGAAATTAATATTTACATTAGTAGACTAAGTAAAGCAGATTGCCCTTCATAATGTAGATGGGCCTCATTCAATCCGTTAAAGGCCTGGAAACAACAAAAATTTGACCCTTCCATGATTAAGAGAGAATTCTACCCGACTGACAGCCTTCAAACTGACTCATTGGCTTTTTCTGTGTCTTCAGGCTCAAACTGAAATGTTAGCTATTCCTGGGCCATGAGCCTGCCAGACTTCAAACTGGAACTACACTGTCAGCTCTCCTGAGCTTCCAGCACGTTTATGTGCTTATTGCAGATCTTGAGACTTGTAAACTTCCATAATCACGAGCCAATCAATTTCATGTAATAAAACTCTACCTTTCTCTCTGTCTCTCTCTGTATATATATGTATACACACATACACACTACATATACACACACACACACACACACAAACACTTTTTTTTTTTCTGGAGAACTCTGACTAATTCATCATACAGGCTAACTGATTAGATTTCTAATAGGGTAAAATCTCAGACCCTTCACAGTCCTGACTTAACAGTCGTAGGCAACACAGGGATTTAATGAGATCCTATTAGGTCTGTATCAGTGGCCTCTAAAGTGTCCTGTAAAAGACTATCTATTGTGGTGTGTGAACAAATATTAAAATTCCTATTTATAATCATTTTTTCTCATCCCTTTTAATTTCATTATTTTAGGTTTTATAATTTATGTAATACATAGGGGGAGTAACAGGTTAATCATTTCAAAAATACATCTATTAAGAGTTCACACTCAATTTTTTTAATCAGTGGGGTAGATGCTCAAAAAAAAGCTTATAAAGCATTGCCCTAATTTATAGAAGTTGGATTTGCTTATTTTCCTGTTGTATCATTCTCAAATTATCTTTCCATCTAGTCTCTAGAAGCCTAAAATCTCTAGTCATAATTTTGAATTCATTTACTGAAGAAGGCTGAATAAAATAGATGGTGTAGGAAGGATGACACTGAAAGACACAAACACTAATTGACCCTTCAGCTTCTGTTAGTTCAGCAGACCGAAATGCTGTGCTCTGAGGAATCTAGGCACAGAGCTATATATGGCATAATGTATAGAAGAGAAGGGAAAGAAGGTTCAGAAACCCGAGGACCTTTTCTGGAAGGCAACTTACGTTTGGTTCTTGACAAGACAGGTCTCTGAGGCTCCTGAGGACACAGATAAGCTGTCTTGGGTTGACCACTAAAGCAAAGAGTCTCAGAGGGAAGGAATAATTGACCAGACTGAAACTTTGCTCATGTCACAGTTGACTAACACCAACTGTGGAAAGAAGATGGAAGCCACAGGAAGAGGCAGTAATTCTTTAATTTTAGTAACATCTAATAAGTTATTATTTGCCATAAAAGTCATTGTTGGGAGATAATTATCCATGAACAGCTTACATGGTCCAGGTCCTCTGAGCAAAAAACAGCCTTAGAAGCTAAAGACAGCATCTCTCTCCATATTAGAGGATAGAATTATTTCTTGGCCACTGTGATAGAAATAGCGAGCATCTTTCTCC